>NC_000007.14:147488682-147640197 GCF_000001405.40 Homo sapiens | reverse complement strand
TGATTTAGCCATTGCACTATATATATATATATATCATATCATATTGTACACGAAAGACATATACAATTTTGTCAATTAAGGTAAAATTTTAAAAAGAGGTCAACTCACTCCACCAAAGTCACATACTTGGGAAGTGGTAAGGTTGGAAATTATGAGCTCATGTTTCTTTGACTTATTTCCACTGTGTTTTACTACAGACACAGAGATGCAGTTTTCTGACAACATCTCGAATTTACTGCCAAGACTCCCAGAGCATATGGAACTTGTTGCAGTAAAGTTATTTCCAGTATATCTTTTGGAATCTCTCTGTTCTCTACACCCGGACACAGTCTTGCACACATGTATGTGTGTTTGCATGTGCACACTCACACACACACTAGCACATGCTAAAAGTTGGCCATCATGAAAACAAAAAATCAGGCTAGACTTCTTGAGACAAACAGGTACTGTGAAGCAACTACTGGGAAGAAAGAGCTCTAAATTCTATCGCTATTCTATATCCTATTTGGCTGTAGACAATTTTTAGAATGCTTTCATCTTTACAATAAAGACACCTGAAGCTCTCAAAGGGAATTGCTTGAATGTTCACAAGGAGCTCTGATAAACTTTGTCCCACAGCCACTACTGACAGTTAAGCACTAGAAACATATATGCACATACAATTTAAAAATCCGTAAGTTTAAAACAATGGACTATTTTTTCCTCAAAATCATTCTTTCTTAGCTTCATTCCCCAGAAAACAAGCCCAATGATTTTATTTTACTTATTTACAGCTTCCTTCCTACTGAAGACTAGACTATAAGATAATGAACCACACCTGTTGGATTCTTTAGGCAATTCTAAGCACCAGCTGAGATAGTGATTAAAAGTAACATTCCATTCTCAGCCTACCTGGGGTGTTCAACAATCTTGACATCTTGCAGAAATAGGAGACATACTGCTCGCAGTACTCGGCACTGTCAGTGATGGCACTTATCTGGTCCATGGAGGCGCTGTAAACGAGCTGTGTCACTGAGTATTTTTCTGGGTTGTAGCCGACCACAGGCGTCTGCATCTGCAAGTCATGAGACACTATGGTCCACACTTTGTCCTCTGTGGGGAGAAAAACAACCAGGACCCTGGATCATTAGTATGCAAATGCTTCTCCAAATGTCAGAAAATAATTGAGCCACACTTAAATGGTCTTTTTACTGAGCTGGTGTAGAACAGTGTTAAGGAGAGCAATCCTTAAAACCCCCTGCTCTTTGCTCATCCCTAAGTTCTGCTTATGAGGACAAAGTAGGAAAGTAATATTTTTATTGAAAACAAATGCAAGATACCTCCTGAAAGCAAGGCAAAAAAAGAAAAAAAAAAAAAGCTTTTGTATCTTGTTGGTGCTCTAACATCTGCAGCATTGAATATCAGGCTCATTATGTCCCAACTTCTTGCTGACTTTGTCATCCATCATTCCTCTGGTGGAACAGGATTTTCTCTTTCCTAAATGAACTATGCTCTCTTTCAAGCCTCTGAGTCTTCCTACATGGTGTTTGCTCTCATCAGAATATGTATCCTCATCTTGTCAACAAATGTTCTCTTCACACTGACCTTTTAGGCAAAATTAGACATTGCATTCTCTGCTATTGAAATGTTCTGTACATGTGGAATAAAGCAAGTGACTAATTATCTTGGTGATTTTGACCCTGAAAATTTCACTGCGAGAAAAGAAGCAGATATAAAATAGATAAGGTTAAATAAAAGCTCCATATACTTTTAAATTTTAGTTAGAAGCATCTCTAAGAACCTAAGATAATGTTATCTAATTTTAAATGTGGCATATGTCTTGCCTCTGTGCACTGAAAAAGCTCCTACACAAGGACTGACCTCGTGCACCAGACTGTGATCACTAAATACCATTTCCTCTAAGATAAAACTAGGATCCCTGGAGAAATGATGGCTTCTACGGCTGGAAATGTGCAAGATGAAAGATGAGCCAGGAACATATCCCAGTAGAAAAAAAGAAGCAATTAGAGACTGAGGGCAGTTCAAAAACACCCAGGGCCAAAGATGGGCCAATCTGAACATCAACAAGAATATTCTGCAATGGATTGAGGCATATCAAATATATTTAAATCCTTAATTTTATTAAAATTGTTAAAAATGTTTAATTTTGGAAGATGCTAGGTAACCAACTCATTATTTTGAATATTGGCGAATAAAGAGAAGAATCAAGCCTTTGGCCTTTCTTTGTTATAGGAACCTTAATGAAACCAAATATTGTCTTTATGGAGATATTTCAGCTCATAAAAGAAGACTAAATGGTGGGATTAGAGTATCATGATTTCCTAACTTCTGACAAATTTAGTAGGATCTAAGCAATGATTATCAATGGCTGCTAATATAACCACAAGTGAAACCACACATGATGCACCTTTGGATGAAAATACACAATCAATGTTACACGTAATGTACTATTGATAAAAATCAAGCATGAATTTGACCAAGTCTATAGACCTAAATTCTGGATTTCCAGAATTTATAAGGGAGAGAGGAACATATTAAATAGCACACAGGGAAATACTCCATGAAATCCCTGCCCGTGGGAAACTCTATAGACCAATATAGTTTTATCAACTGATAAATTGCAAAGGAAGTGGGTAGAGAGGAAAGAAGTGGTGAGAGAGAGACAGAGCGCAAGAGAGAGCGTGCTGTAGATTAAAAGAGACTTATTGAACTTCCTCCTCATTTGGTCTTATTTTGGTACATGGCAACTCCATTCTTTCAGGTGCTCAAGACAAAACCCAGGAGTCACCATTAATGCCTCTCTTTCTTCTGCATTCATCATCAAGCCTGCCCATGAATCCTCTCTGCTCTACCTTCAGTGTATTTCCAAAATTTGAACACGCCTCCTGCCAACCCACCACCACTACTAGGGTTAAAGCCATCCTGATTCCTAACCAGTCTGCTGCTTTCCACCCTTGCCTCCTCACATCTACACTCAACACGGGAGTCAGGGTGAGGTTTTTCAAATATAAGTGAGATTCTGATACTCTGCTCAAAGCCTTCAATGGCAGCGGGTCTTGTTCCAGTAGAAGTCAAGTCCTTAAAACAGCTGAAGTCCCTCCGTGACCTGGCTCCTCCCCGCCTCTATGCCCTCACATGTCAATCCTCCCTCCTTGCTCCTTTGGCACCAGCCATATGGACCTTTCATTCCTCAAACACATCAGCAGGGTCCCTCCTTAGTGCCTCTGCACCTGCTGCTTCCTTTGTCTTTCCTCGGCACCCTCAGGACCCACTCCTTCTTCTCTTCCAGTGCCAGCCTTTCCTTTCCTATTCTACAGCTGCTCTCTGCCTCCTCTTCCTGCTTTAATTTTCTCCCTAGCATTCATCTCCCCTTTACTTGCACACATTTTATTTTTTTAAAGTCTGTCCCCCCACATTAAAAGTTAAGAAAGCAGAGATTGCACAATAATTGGCACATAGTAGGGCTTCAGAAATATTAGTTGAGTAGAAAGAGGAATTAACGAAAGTTAATGTTCTCACTCATGAGTGGGAGTTGAAAAATGAGAACACATGGACACAGAAAGGAGAATATCACACACCAGGGCTTGTTGGGGGGTGCAGGGTAAATGGGAGGGAGAGCATTAGGACAAATACCTGATGCATGCAGGGCTTAGAACCTAGATGACAGGTTGATAGGTGCGGCAAACCACCATGGCACATGTATATCTATGTAACAAACCTGCACGTTCTGCACATGTATCCAAGAACTTAAAGGAAAATAAAAAAATAAAAAAGTAAAAGTTAAATAGATCCAAGCTACTCAATCTAGGAACAGTTTAAAGTCATTTTGGTCCCAGTTCTGGCTTGGTCAGGACTATCCTGTGAGACTCTAGACAAGTGACTTCATCTTCTAGGCTCTAAACCCCTTTCATCTATAACAACATCCCTCTCTGCTAGAGCACTTTCCAGTTTGCTCTTCTTGAATCAATCAGAAAAGTTCAGTTACAGTGTCCCCCATGGTAATATATTTTCTGTAGAATAAATATATTCCAGTTTTACCTTTAGCCTCTTTGTAACTGCCTTCCTTTAGTTCTTCTGATAAGCAAAGAAGCCACATCATATTTTAGTAATTCTGTCACTTTCTGACATGATTCTGATGATAAACTGTTTGTCATTTGTGTCCAGACCTGCAGATTTACCTTCACCTAATTAAAGATACATTAATTAAATTAGATTGGTTTTGATCTTTTCTGTTACAGTCAGCCTCTGGCATAAAACTTTCTAGTGTCTGACACTGCTTCCATTTTTTATTTTTTTTCTCACAAATCTCTATCAAGAGCCTTGTCCTGCAGTAGTACTCCAAATCTTTCTTTGACTCATGATGGAATAGCCTTCAAACCTGATGTCTTCTTTAAAGGGTCATAAACGTCTTTTCAATATAATGGTCATAAAGGCAAGCATTAATTTAAGCAAATAAAACCAAATGGTCACCCATTTACAGTCTCTATCTTACACAACTTCATTAACTTTAAAAATATTACCTATTTGCTGAGATTGAAGAGTCTCTACTGATTTGTTCCTAGTGACTTCTCAGCCCTAAACTCTACTTCTGCCCCTCTCACCACAAACATTTCTCTATCAAACCCCTATGCATTATCTGTTATATGTTTGTTTTGTAACACACCCATGCATTCAACAAATATTATTGAGTGCTTACGATATGACAGATACAGATCTAGGGAATGTATCTAAGGAAACCACAGTGCAATAAGCATTTATACATTTTTGGAGCTTGGGCAGGGTGTGGTGGCTCATGCCTGTAATCCCAGCACTTTGGGAAGCCGAGATAGGAGGATCACTTGAACCCACGAATTCAAGATCAGCCTGGGCAACACAGCAAGACCCTGTCTCAAAGTTAGTTTTAAAAATTCGATTAAAAAAAAAAAGTTTTGGAGCTTATATTCTTCCATTCTAGTGGCGGAAAAACAGATCGTAAGCAAAATAATTAAAATTAAACATATATATATATATATAGTTTGCCAGTGATAATGGCTGGGAGAAAAGCTACATCAAGGAAGGGAAGTATAGACCCTGTGAATGGGGATTGCCTTTTCAAATACAGCAAAAGCTGCAAAAGGCTTCACTGAGAAAATAACATTTGAATGTGTAAGGTAGTTATCCAGCAAGCCATGTGAATGCCTGGGGAAAATATTCCAGACAGAAGAAATACAAATGCAAATGTTCTAATTCTGGAATTTTCCCGGCATCATTCAGGTATACAAAGAGTCCACTGAGTGACAGAAGGAAGAATAGGAAGAAGCGGGAGTTAGAAATGGTTGGGCATGGGACGAGCATGACCAGCAGTCTGCTGTGTCATAGTAAGAGATCTGGCTTGTAGTCAAAGGAAAACAAGCAACTGTTGGCATTGGAGGATTTTGAGCAGAAAAGTAGCATGCTGTAACTTATTTATTGATATACTATTCTTCAATAAAATTATATTTTGGAAAGATTTGAAAAGAAATACACATGCACGTATGTATCTATTTTATAAAATAATTAAAAATTTTTACAGCGTCTTGTCATTTTTTTTCTGAGAAAGCACAATGTTTAAATTTTTATTTCATTTCAGTATTTTGGGGGGTACAGGTGGTTTTTGGTTACATAAAGTTCTTTAGTGGTGATTTCTGAGATTTTGGTGCACCCATCACCTGAGCAGTGTACACTGTACCCAATACGTAGTCTTTTATCCCTCACCCCATCCCTTCCCCGCCAAGTCCCCAAAGTCCATTATATCATTGTTATGCTTTTATGTCTTCATAGATTAGCTCCCACTTACAAGTGAGAACATACAATATTTGGTTTTCCATTGCTGAGTTATTTTACTTAGAATAATAGTCTCCAACTCCATCCAGGTTGCTGCCAATGCCATTATTTCATTCTTTTTATGACGAGTAGTATTCCATGGTGTATATATACCACATTCTCTTTATCCACTCATTGGTTGATGGACTTTTAGGCTGGTTCCATATTGTTGCAATTGCAAATACTGTTGCTGTAAAAATGTGTGTGCAAGTATCTTTTTCATATAATGACTTCTTTTCCTCTGGGTAGATACCCAGTAGTGGGATTGCTGGATCAAATGGTAGCTCTACCTTTAGTTCTTTAGGGAATCTCCATACTGTTTTCCATAGTGCTTGTACTAGCTTATATTCCCACCAGCAGTGTAGAAGTGTTCCCTTTTCACCACATCCATGCCACCTGTTATTTTTTGATTTTTTAATTATGGCCATTCTTGCAGGAATAAGGTAATGTATTAGTCCATGCTCATGTTGCTATGAATAAATACCTAAGACTGGGTAATTTATGAAGGAAAGAAGTTTAATTGACTCACATTTCCACATTGCTGGGGAGGCCTCAGGAAACTTACAATCATGGCAGAAGGCACCTCTTCACAGGGTGGCGGGAGAGAGAATGAGAGTTGAGCAAAGGAGGAAAAGCTCCCTATAAAACCATCAGACCTTATGAGAACTAACTTATTATCACAACAACAAGATGTGGGGAAACTGCCTCCATGATTCAATTAACTCCATCTGGTCCTCGCATAGGATTATGGGACCTATAATTCAGGATGAGATTTGGGTGGGGACATAGCCAAGGCATACCATTCTTCTCCTGGCCCCTCCCAAATCTCATGACCTCACAATTCAAAACACAATCATGCCTTTCCAATGGTCTTCAAAGTCTTAGCTTATTCCAGCATTAACCCAAAGGCTCAAGTCCAAAGTCTTGTGTGGGGGCTCCAACCCCACATATCTCGTCTGCACTGCCCTAGCAGAGGATCTCTATGAGAGCTTGACCCCTGTAGCAAAGCAAACTTCTGTTTAGACATCCAGGCATTTCCATACATCCTCTGAAATCTAGGTGGAGGTTCTCCAACCTTGGTTTTTGACTTCTGTGTACCCACAGGCCCAACATCATGTGAAAGTCACCATGGATTGGGGCTTGCATCCTCTGAAGCAATGGCTTGAGCTGTTCCTTGACCCCTTTTAGCCAAGGCTGGCGCTGAAGCAGTTGGGATGCTGGGCACCATGTCCCAAGGGCCTAACACACAAAAGATTTTTCCCTCCTAGGCCTCTGGGCCTGTGATGGGATGGGCTGCTTGTGCAAATTTCTGCAGCCTGTTTGAATTTCTCACCAGAAAACGGAGTTTTCTTTTCTACCTCATTGTCAGGCTGCAAATTTTCCAAACTTTTATGCTCTGCTTCCTCTTGAATGAGGCAGGGACAAAATGCCACCAGTCTCTTTGCATAGCAAGAGTCACTTTTACTCCAGTTCCCAATAAGTTCCTCATCTTCATATGAGACCACCTCAGACTAGACTTCATTGTCCATATCACTATCAGCATTTTGGTCAAAACCATTCAACAAGTCTCCAAACTTTCCCACATTTTCTTGTCTTATTCTGAGCCCTCCAAACTGTTCCAGTCTCTTCCTGTTACCCAGTTCCAAAGTTGCTTCCATATTTTTGGATATCTTTACAGCAGCACCCCACTACCCAGTACCAATTTACTGTATTAGTCTGTTCTCACATTGCTATGAAGAAATACCTGAGACTGGGTAATTTATAAAGGAAAGAGTTTTAATTGACTCTTAGTTTCACATGGCTGAGGAGGCATCAGGAAACTTAACAGCCATGGTGGAAGGCACCTCTTTACAGGGCAGCAAGAGAGAATGAGAGCAACGCAAAGGCAGAAAAGCCCCTTATAAAACCATCAGATCTCGTGAGAACTAACTTACTATCACAACAGGATTAGGGAAACCACCCCCATTATCCAATTATCTCTACCTGGTCCCTCCCGCAACACTGGGTTGGGGATCATGGGAACTACAATTCAAGATGAGATTTGGGTGGGGACACAACCGAACCACCATATCAGGTGGTATCTCATTGTGGTTTTGATTTGCCTTTCCCTGATAATTAGTGACATTGGGCATGTTTTCATATGTTTGTTGTCCATTTGTACATCTTCTTTTGAGAATTCTCTACTCATGCTCTTTTCCCACTTTTTGATGGGATTGGTTTTTTGTTGCTGATTTGTTTGAGTTTCTTGTGGATTCCGGATATTAGTGCTTTGTCACCTACATAGTGTGCAAAGATTTTCTCCCACTGTGGGTTGTCTGTTTACTCTGCTGACTATTTCTTTTGCTGTGCAGAAGCTTTTAGTTTAATTAGGTCCCATTTATTTATCTTTGTTTTTGGTGCATTTGCTTTCGGATGCTTTGTCATGAAATTTTTGCCTATGTCAATGTCTAGAAGAACTTTCCTGATGTTATTTTCTAGAATGTTTACGGTTTCAGGACTTACATTTAAGTCTTTGATCAATCTTGAGTTGATTTTTTACATAAGTTAAGCGATGAGGATGCAGCTTCATACTTCTACATGTGACTTGCCAATTATCCCAGCACCATTTGTTGAATAGGGTATCCTTTCCCCACTTAATGTTTTTGTTTGCTTTGTTGAAGATCAGTTGGCTTTAAATATTTGGCTATATTTCTGGATTCTCTATTTTGTTCCATTGGTCTACTTGCCTATTTTTACACCAGTACCATCCTGTTTTGGTCTCTATAGCCTTGTAGAATAGTTTTAATTAGGGTAACGTGATGCCTCCAGATTTGTTCTTTTAGCTTTGTCTTGCTTTGGCTATGCAGGCTTGTTTTTGGTTTCATATGAACTTTAGGATTGTTTTTTATAGTTCTGTGAAGAATATTGATGGTACTTTGATGGAAATTGCAATCTGTAGATTGATTTTGGCAGTATGGTCATTTTCACAGTATTGATTCTACCCATCCATGAGCATTGGGTTGTGTTTCCATTTGTTTGTGTCATTAATGATTTCTTTCACCAGTGTTTTGTAGTTAACTTTGTAGAGATCTTTCACCTCCTTGGTTAGGTATAGTCCTAAGTATTTTATTATTATTATTACTTTGTGAAGCTGTTGTAAAAGGGATTGAGTTATTGATTTGTTTCTCAGCTTGGTTGTTGTTGGTGTATAGCAGTGCTACTGAATTGTGTACATTGATTTTATATCCTGAAACTTTACTAAATTAATTTATCATATCTAGGAGCTTTTTGGATGAATCTTTAGGGTTTTCTAGGTATATGATCATATCATCTGTGAACAGCACAACTTTAATTTCCTCTTTACAGATTCTGATGCCCTTTATTTCTTTCTCTTGTCTGATTGCTACAGCTAGGAGTTCCAGTACTATGTTAAATAGAGGTGGTGGGGGTGGGCATCCTTCTCTTGTTCCAGTTCTCAGGATGAATGCTTTCAACTTTTTCCCATTCAGTATAATGTTGGCTGTGGGTTTGTCATAGATGGTTTTTATTACATTGAGGTACATCCCTTCTATGCCAATTTTGCAGAAGGTTTTATTCGTAAAGGGATGCTGGACTTTGTCAAATGCTTTTTCTGCATCTATTGGGATGCTCATATGACTTCTGTTGTTAATTATTTTATGTGATGCATCATATTTATTTGGTTGTGTATGTTAAATCATCCCTGCATCCCTGGTACGAAACCCACTTGATAATGGTGTATTATCTTTTTGATATGCTGTTGAATTTGGTTAGCTAGTATTTTGTTGAGGATTTTTGCATATATGTTCATCAGCAGTATTGGTCTGTAGTTTTCCTTTTCTGTTATGTCCTTTCCTGGCTTTGGTATTAGGGTGATATTGACTTCACAGAATGATTTAGGGAGAATTCCCTCCTTCTCTGTCTTTTGGAATAGTTTCAGTAAGATTGGTGTCGATTCTTCTTTGAATGTCCGTTAGAATTCAGCTGCGAATCCGTCTGGTTCTGGACTTTTTTGTTGGCTTTTTTTTTTTTTTTTTTTTTTTACTACTGTTTCAATTTTGCTATTTGTCATTGGTCAGTTTAGAATCTCTATTTCTTCCTGATTTAATCTAGGAAGGTTGTATATTTCCAGGAATTTATCCATCTACATTAGATTTCTAGTTTGTAAATGTGTTCATAGTAGCCTTGAATGATCTTTTGTATTTCTGTGGTATTGGTTGTAATATTTCCTGTTTTGTTTCTAATTGACATTTGGATCTTCTCTCTTTTTTTCTTGGTTATTCTTGCTAATGGTCTATCAATTATGTTTATCTTTTCAAAGAACCCACTTTTTTTCATTTATCTTTTGTATTTTTTTGTTTGTATTTCATTTAGTTCTGTTCTGATCTTTGTTATTTCTTTTTTTCTGCTGGGTTTGCATATTGTTTGTACTTGTTTTTCTATTTGCTTGAGGTATAATCTTAGATTTTTTTATTTGTGCTCTTTCAGACTTTTTGATGAGGGCATTTAATGCTATGAATTTTCCTCTCAGCACCACTTTTGCTGTATGCCAGAGGTTTTGATAAGTTGTGTCACTATCATCAATCAGCTCAATTTTTAAATTTTATCTTTATTTCATTGTTGACTCAATGATCATTAAGGAACAGGTGATTTAATTTCCAAGTATTTGTATAGTTTTGAGGGTTCCTTTTGGAGTTAATTTCCACTTTTTTTCCACTGTGGTCTGAGAGAATACCTGATATACTTTTTATTTTCTTAAGTTTATCAAGACTTGTTTTGTAAGCTATCATATGGTCTATCTTGGAGAATGTTCTGTGTGTTGAAGAAAGTAATGTATATCCTGCAGTTGTTGAGTAGAACGTTCTGTAACTATCTGTTAAATCCATTTGTTCTAGAGTATAGTTTATGTCTATTATTATTATTATTATTATTATTATTATTATTATTATTATTTTTGAGACAGAGTTTTGCTCTTGTTGCCCAGGCTGGAGTGCAGTGGTGCAATCTCAACTCACTGCAACCTCTGCCTCTGGGGTTTAAGTGATTCTCCTGCCTCAGCCTCCCAGGTAGCTGGGATTACAGGCACCCATCACGTTGCTTGGCTAATTTTTTGCATTTTTAGTAAAGACAGGGTTTTACCATATTGGCCAGGCTGTTCTTGAACTCCTAACCTCAGGTGATCCACCCACCTCAGCCTCCCAAAGTGCTGGGATTACAGCCATGAACCACAGCGGTCGGCCTATGTCCGTTATTTCTTTGTTGACTTCTCGTCTTGATGAACTATCTAGTGCTGTCAGAGGAGTATTGAAGCCCCCCCACTATTATTGTGTTGCCATCTATCTCACATCTTAGGTCTGGTAATAATTCCCTTATAAATTTGGGAGCTCCAGTGTTAGGTGCATATATATTTAGAATTGTGATATTTTTCTGTTGGAGTAATTCTTTTATCATTTTATAACGTTCCTCTTTGTCTTTTTTTTTTTTTTTTTTTAACTGCTGTTGGCTTTAAAGTCTGTTTTTTCCTGGTAGAAGAATAGCTACTGCTGCTTGCTTTTGGTTTCCATTTGCATGGAATATCTTTTTCCACCCCTTTACCTTAAGTTTATGTGAGTCCTTATGTGTTAGGTGAGTCTTTTGAAGACAGCAGATATTTTGTTGGTGGATTTTTATCCATTCTGCCATTCTATATCTTTTAATTGGAGAATTTAGGCCATTTACGTTCAACATTAGCAGTGAGATGTGAGGTACTGTTTTCTTCATCATGCTAGTTGTTGCCTTAATACCTTATGTTTTGTTTTAATTGTGTTATTGTTTTATAGGCCTGGTGACATTTATGCTTTAAGGAGGTTCTATTTTGGTGTGTTTCAAGATTTAGAACCCCTTTTAGCATTTCTTATAGCGCTGGCTTAGTTGTGGCAAATTTTCTCAGCATTTGTTTGTCTGAAAAAGACTTTATCTCTCCTTCATTTATGAAGCTCCATTTTACTGGATACAAAATCCTGGGCTGACAATTATTTTGTTTCAGAAGGCTAAAGATGACACCCCAATTCTTTCTGTCTTGTAAGGTTTCTATGGATAATTCTGCTATTAATCTGATAGGTTTTCCTTTATAGGTTATCTGATACTTTTGTCCCACAGCTCTTAAGATTCTTTCCTTTGTCTTAACTTTAGATAACCTAATGACTATGTGCTAGGTGATGATCTTTTTGGAATGAATTTCCCAGGTGTTCTTTGAGCTTCTTGTATTTGGGTATCTTGATCTCTAGCAAGGCCAGGGAAGTTTTCCTCAAGTATTCCCTCAAATATGCTTTCCAAACTTTTAAATTTCTCTTCTTCCTCCAGAAAACCAACTATACTTAGGTTTGCCATTTAACATAATCCCAAATTTCTTGGAGGCTGTGTTCACTTTTTTATTCTTTTTTTTTTCTTGTCTTTGTCTGATTGGCTTAATTTGAAAGCCTTGTCTTTGAGCTCCAAAATTCTTTCTTTTACTTGTTCTAGTCTATTGTTGAAACTTCCCACACTACACTTTTTGTATTTCCGTAAGTGTGTCTTTCATTTCCAAAAGTTGTGATTGTTTTTTCTTTATGACATCTATTTATGTGGAGAATTTTTCATCCATATCCTGTATTTTGTTTTAATATCTTTTTTTTTTTTTTTTTTTTTTTGAGACAGAGTCTCGCTCTGTCCCCCAGGCTGGAGTGCAATGGCACAATCTCGGCTCACTGCAACCTCCGCCTCCCAGGTTCAAGCCATTCTCCTGCCTCAGCCTCCCAAGTACCTGGGATTACAGGTGCCCACCACACACCAAACTTTTTGTATTTTTAGTAGAGACAGGGTTTCACTATGTTGGCCAGGCTGGTCTTGAACTCCTGACCTCATGATCCACCTGCCTCAGCCTCCCAAAGTGCTGGGATTTCAGGCGTGAGCCACCATGCCCCACCTTGTTTTAATATCTTTAAGTTTGTTTTCACCTTTCTCTGGTATCTGAGTACCTTAATAATCAACCTTCTGAATTTTTTATCTGGCTATTCAGAGATTTCTTTTTGGTTTGGATCCATTGCTGGGGAGCTGGTATGATCTTTTGGGGATACTATAGAACCTTGTTTTGTTACATTACCAGAATTACTTTTCTGGTTCCTTCTCGTTTGCGTAGATTATTTCAGTGGAGAGGTCTGAAACTCAACATCTGCTGTTCAGATTTTCTTGTCCCACAGGGTGATCCCTTGATGTGGTGCTTCCCCCCTTACCCTAGGGATGGGGCTTCCTGAGAGCTGGAACGCAGAGATTGTTATTGCTCTTTTGGGTCTGGTTACCAAGCTGGGCTACCAGGCTCTAGACTGGTGCTGGGGAATGTCTACAGAGTCCTATGATGTGATCCATCTTCAGGTCTCTCAATCATGGATACCAGCACCTGCTCTGGTAGAGGTGGCAGCGAAGTGAGGTAGACTCTGTGAGAGTCCATGGTTGTAGATATGTTTAGTGTGCTGGCTTTCTTGAATGATGGTTATGCTAGCAGTGATGTTTTCACAGGGACACGCTCAGGAACTCTGGTTAGCCAGTATCTTGTAGGCAGTGGAATTAGGTGTTGTCTTCTCCTTCCTGGGATCAGGGTTATTCTACCATGAGTTGCTGTAATGGCCTGAGTTGGTTGGCCTCCAACCAGAAGGTGGTGTTTCCAAGACAGCAACAGCTGCAGTATTAGTGGAGGGATCTAAGCTTGCCCTAACTTGGCCAGGGTAAGTATTTCAGTTTCTCAGGTGATGGGCAGGGCCATAAAGCTCCCAAGAGTTTATCTTTTGTAATCAGCTACTAGGGTGGGTAAAGAAATCCTATCAGGTCAGGGCAGGGTTATGCAGGTCTGAGCTCAGCCTCTCCTTGGCTGGGGCTTGCTATAGCCACTGTGGGGATGCAGGGTGGTTCTCAGGCCAAAAGACATCTTGGCTGCCTCTGCTGTGTCATATAGTTCACCAGAGAAGTGGGGAATAGCCATTAGTGAGAGGCCTAACCCACCCCCCCATGCAATTGGCAAGGCCAGTCTCACTCCCACAGTGCCCCAATAAGACCTTGCCTGAGGACATAGACTTCCCCACTAAAAAAGCAAGCATGGCCCTTGCTCCTTTGCATCTGCCCACTCCATTGGCTGCGGCTCCTGTGCTCGAATCTGCAGCCACTCCTGCTTGTCTCCTGGACTTCACCTGAGAAGATTTGTGCCCAGTTGAAACAACTACAAATTTCAGTTCAGAGTTTCCTTTGCACTGTGACTACTTCCCAATTCCTCTGGCTGCCTTCCCCAAGGGCCCCTATAAGATATCATCAGAGATGGCTTCCCTGGGCTTCAGCTGGAGACTGGGACTGCCTGCAAGGCATTTTCTGCTGCTACTTCTACTTTTATATTTCATGTGACTCCCTAAATCCATTTCAACTCCAGGAGAGGTTAAATCCTTCTTCCATAATCTCATGATCTGGATTTTCAGGTCCCCCAGTAGAAATGTATGTTTGGAGGCAGGTTTTCCTTCTCTCACACTTTGGGAATGCTCAGTTTTTCACCTGTTTCATGAAATTTGTAGTAGTGTGCTGCTTCTTTCAAAGGATCTGGGAATCCTTCAGGTTTTCCTGGTATGTTCCTTTGTTGGTTCTTGGAGCAACAGATCACAGTGTGAGTCTCCACACACAGTTCAGTTCATCCAGGTGAGAACTGCACATTAGCCCTATCTCCTATCTGCCATCTTGCCCACCAAGTCCAGTGCCATGACATTTTAAAACAATTTCTTTGGTAATTGACATTTTAAAATAATTTTTTGGTAATTGTGAGCACATGCAAACAATAATATATAAACTCTATTTTGATGAAATAGAACAGTTACTGTTGATGCATTTTACAAATTATTTTGTAACACTTGTATATTACACATTGCAATAACTCCTTTGGAACCATACAATATTTTTAAATTTTAAATTTTTGTGGGTACATCATAGGTATATATATTTATGGGGTACATGAGATACTTTGATACAGGCATGCAATGTGTAATGATCACATCACAGAGAAGGAGGTATCCATCCACTCAAGCATTTATGCTTTGTGTTACAAACAATCCAATTAGACTCTTTTTAGTTATTTTAAAATGTACAATTAAGTTATTATTGACTATGGTAACCCTGATGTGCTACCTAATAGTAGGTCTTACTATTCTATTTTTTGTACTTATTAACCATCCCCACTTCCCCCTGCAACCCCTCACTACCCTTCCCAGCCTCTGGAAACCATCCTTCCACCCTATGTCCATGAGTTCAATTGTTTTGATTTTTGGATCCCCCAAATAAGTGAGAACATGTGATGTTTGTCTTTCTGTGCCTGGCTTATTTCACTTAACATAATGATCTCTAGTTCCATCCATGTTGTTGCAAATGACTGTATCTCATTCTTTTTATGGCTGAATAGTACTCCATTGTGTATATGTACCACATTTTCTTTATCCACTCATCTGTTGATGGATGCTTTGGTTGCTTCCAAATCTTGGCTATTGTGAACAGTACTGCAATAAACATGAGAGTAAAGATATTTCTTCCGTATACTGATTTCCATTCTTTTGTGTATATACCCATCAGTAGGATTGCTGGATCATATGATAGTTCTATTTTCAGCTTCTCAAGGAAGTTCTGAATGCTTCTTAGTGGTTGTACTAATTTACATTTCTACCAACAGTGTATGAGGATTTCCTGTTCCCCATATCCTCACCAGCATTTGTTACTGCCTGTCTTTTGGATATAAGCCATTTTAACTGTGGTGAGATGATATTTCATTGTTGTTTTGATTTGCATTTTCTGATGATCAATGATGTCTAGCACTTTTTCACATGTCTGTTTGCCATTTGTATGTCTTCTTTTGAGAAATGTCTATTTAAGTCTTTGGCCAATTATTGAAACATATTATTAAAATTTTCCTATAGAGTTATTTTGAGCTCCTTATATAATATTCTGGTTATTAACACCATCTCAGATGGGTAGTTTGCAAATATTTTCTCCCATTATGTGGGGTGTCTCTTCACTTTGTTGATTGTTTGCTGTGCAGAAGTTTTTTTTTTAACTTGAGCTGATCACATTTATCCATTTTTGCTTTGGTTGCCTATGCTTGTGTGGTATTACTCAAGAAATTTTTGCCCAGACCAATGTCCTGGAGAGTTTCCCCAGTGTTTTCTTGTAGTAGATTCATATTTTGAGGTCTTTGCTTTAAGTCTTTATTTTGATTTGCTTTTTGTATATGTTGAGAGACAGAAGTCTAGTTTCATTCTTCCGCATATGAACATTCAGTTTTCCCAGAACCATTTATTGAAGAGACTGTTTTCCTAAGAGTATGTTCTTGGCACCTTTGTCAAAATGAATTCGCTGTAGCTGTGTGGATTTGTTTCTGGGTTATACATTCTGTTCCATTGATCTACATGTCTGTTTTTATGCTGTACCATGCTGTTTTGGTTACTCTAGCTCTGTAGCATAATTTGAAGTTAGGTAATGTGATTCCTCCAGTTTTGTTCTTTTTGTTCAGGATAGATCTGGTTATTCTGGGTCTTTTGTGGTTCCAAATAAATTTTAATTTTAAATTTAAAATTTTTTTTTTTATTTCTGTGAAGAATGTCATTGGTATTTTCATAGGAATTACACTGAATCTATAGATCACTTTGGGAAGGACGGACATTTTAACAATATTGATTATTTCAATTCATGAATATGAAATACCTTTTCATCTTATTGGTGTTCTCCTCAATTTCTTTCATGAGTGTTTTATATTTTTCATTATAGAGATCTTTCACTTTATGGTTAATTCCCAGGTATTTAATTTTATCTGTGGCTATTGTAAATGGGATTACATTTTGATTTTTTTGTTTCAGATTGCTCATTGTTAGCATATAGAAATGCTACTGGTTTTTGTATGTTGATTTTGTATACTACAACTTTGCAGAATTTGTTTATCAGTTCTAATAGTTTTTTTGTGGAGTCTTTAGGTTTTTCCAAATATAAGATCATATCATCTGCAAACAAGGATAATATGACTTCTTCCACTCCAATTTGGATGCCCTTTATTTTGTTCTTTTGTCTGAATGCTCTAGCTTAGGACTTTCAGTATTACGTTGAATAACAGTGGTGAAAGTAGGCATCCTTGTCATGTTCCAGATCTTCGAGGAAAGGCTTTCAGATTTCCGCCTTCAGTTCCTGTGCTTTTCTTATTGACAGAGTTCTTATTATAGCTTCGATCTTGTTACTGGATATTCATATCTTCAGGTTTTGGATTTCTTCCTGGTTAAATCTTGCTAGGTTGTATGTGTCTAAGAATTTGTCTATTTTTCCTAGATTTACCAATTTATTGGCATATAGTTGCTCATTGTAGCCACCAATAATCCTTTTAATTTCTGTGGTATCAGTTGTAATGTCTCCTTTTTCATCTCCAATTTTATTTATTTGGATCTTTTTTTCCTAGTCTGGCTAAAGGCTTGTCAACTGTGTTTAACTTTTCAATAAACCAAATTTTTGTTTCATTGGTCTTTTGTATTGTTTTCTTCAATTTTATTTATTTATGCTCTGATCTTTATTATTTCTTTCTTCCACTAATTTTAAGTTTGGTTTGCTCTTGCTTTTCTAGTTCTTTAAGCTGCATCATTAGGTTATTTGAAGTTTTTCTTCTTTTTTGATGTAGACAGTTATAGCTATAAACTTTCCTCTTAGTACTGCTTTTATCGTATCCCATAGATTTTTTGGTATGTTGTGTTTCCATCATCATTTGTTTCAAGCCATTTTTCAATTTCCTTCTTAATTTATTCATTGGCCCACTGGTCATTCAGGAGCATATTAATTTTCCAGTATTTGTAGAGTTTCAAAAATTCATCTTGTTATCAATTTCTAGTTTTATTCCATTGTGGTCAAAGAATATGCTTAATATTATTTTCATTTTTTGAATGTTTTAAGTCTTGTTTTGTGACCTAACATATGGTCTATCCTTGAGAATCATCCATATACTGAGGGAAAGAATGTGTGATCTGTAGCCATTGGATGAAATGTTCTATAAATATGCGTTAAATTCATTCAGTCTAAAGAGAAGATTAAGTCTGATGTTTTTTTGTTTATTACCTGTCCAGAAGATCTGTCCAGTGCTGAAGGTGAGGTGTTGAATTCTCTAGTTATTATTGTATTGGGGCCCATCTCTCTCTTTAGCTCTAATAATATTTGCTTTATATATCGCGGTACTCCACTGTTAAATGCATATGTATTTAAAACTGTTATATCCTCTTGCTGAAATGACACCTTTATCATTATATAGTGACCTTCTTTGTGTCTTATTATAGTTTTTGTCATGAAATCTAATTTGTCTGTTATAAGTGTAGCTACTCTTTTTCTTTTTTTGGTTTCTATTTGCATGGAATATATCTTTTTCCATCCCTTTATTTTTCAGTCTATGTGTCTCTTTATAGGTGAAGTGTGTTCCTTGTAGGCAACAGATCAAATGGTTTTTCTTTTTCATCTATTCAGCTACTGTATGTCTTCTGTTTGCAGAGTTTAGTTCATTTACATTCAATGTTATTATTGATAAGTAAGAAGTTACTCTTGCCATGTTGTTATTTGTTTTCTGGTTGTTTTTTTGTCTTCTCTTTCTTCCTGTCCTCCTTTAGTGAAGGTGATCTTCTCTGGTGGTATAATTTAGTTTCTTGCTTTTTATTTTGTGTGTATCCATTGTTTGATTTTGGTTTGTGGTTACCATGGGGCTTCCAAATACTATCTTATAACACATTTTTTTAAGCTGATAACAACTAACACTGTTTGTATAAACAAACAAATAAGCACAAGTAATAATAAAAACTCTATGCCTTACCTCTATCCTTCTGCTTTTTAACTTTTTGTTGTTTCTATTTATATCTTATTGTACTGTCTATGTCTTCAAAAATTGTTGTACTTTTTATTTTTTATTGGTTCATCATTTAGTCTTTTTACTTAGGATGAAGTAGTTTACACCTCAGTTACTGTGTTATAATATTCCATGTTTTTCTGTGTACTTAATATTACCAGTGAGTTTGTACTTTCAGGTGATTTCTTATTGCTCATTAACATCCTTTATCTTGTGGACTGAAGTACTCCCTTTAGCATTTCTCATAGGACAGGTCTGGTGTTGATAAAATCCCTCAGCTTCTGTTTGTCTAGAAAAGTCTTTATTTCTCCTTTATATTTGAAGGATATCATCACCAGATATACTATTTTAGGGTAAAAGTTTTTTTCTTTCAGCACCGTAAATATGTCATGCCCCTCTCTCCTGGTCTGTAAGGTTTCAACTGAAAAGTCTGCTACCAGACATATTGAAGCTCCATTGCCTGCTATATGCTTCTTTTCTCTTGTTGCTTTTAGAATCCTTTCTTTATCCTTGACCTTTTGGAGTTATTAAATGCCTTGAGCTAGTCTTCTTTGGGTCAAATCTGCTTAGTGTTTTATAACCTTCTTGTACTTGGATATTGATATCTTTCCCTAGGGTTTTGTTATTATACCTTTGAATTAACTGTCTACCCCATCTCTTTTTCTACCTCCTCTTTATGGCCAATAACTCTTAGATTTCCCTTTGGGGGCTATTTTCTAGATCCTGTAGATGTGCTTCATTTTTAAAAATTATTATTTCCTCTTGTTTTCACTGACTGTGCATTTTCAAATAACCTGTCTTCAAGCTTACTAATTCTTCTGTTTGATCTCTTATGCTATTAAAAGACTCTGATGCATTCTTCAGTATGCCAATTACCTTTTTCAAATCCAGAATTTCTGCTTGATTCTTTTTAATTCAATTAATTTAAAAAATATATAATTATATGATATATTAGTTATTTTTAATTAATATATAATTATTTTAATCTCTTTGTTAAATTTATCTGATAGAATTCTGAATACCTTCTCCGCTTTATCTTAAATTTGAGTTTCCTTAAAACAGCTATTTTGAATTCTCTGTCTGAAAAGTCACATATCTCTGTTTCACTAGGATTGGTTCCTGGTACCTTATTTAGCTCATTTGGTGAAGTCATGTTTTCCTGGATGGTGTTGATACTAGTAGATGTTCTTGGATGTCTGGGCATTAAAAAGCTAGATATTTATTGTAGTCTTCACCTTCTCACCTTCTTTGTCCCCATCCTTCTTGGCAAAGCTTTCCAGATATTCAGAAGGACTTGGGTATTGTGATCTAAGCTGTAACAGCTTTAGGGGGCACCCCAAGCCCAGTAATGCTGTGTTTCTTGCAGACTCATAGACATACTACCTTGATGGCCTTGGACAAGATCTGAAAGAATCCTATGGATTACTGGACGAAAACTCTTGTTCTCTTTCTTCTTCCTCCCACACAAATAGAGTGTCTCTCTCTGTTCTGAGCCACTGAAAGCTAGGGGTGGAGTGACACAACTACTCCTTGGCCACCACCACTAGGATTGTGCTGGGTCAGATCTAAAGCCAGCACAGGACTGGGTGTTGCCCCAAGACCTGCTGTAACCACTCCCTGGCTGCTGCCTATGTTCGCTCAAGGCTCTGGGGTTCTACAATCATCAGGTAGCACAGCCAGCCAGGCCTATGTCCTTCCCTTCAGGGTGGCGAGTCACCCGAGGTCCCAGGTAGGTCCAGAGTTGCCATCCTCCAGCAATCAGGGACCAGAGTCAAAAACCTCAGAACTCCACCTGTTCTGTTGTACTGTGGCTGAGCTGTCACTCAAGCCACAAGATGCAGCACTTCCCACTCTTCTCTCTCCTTCCAAAGGAAAAGGAGTGTCACCCTGTGGTCATCACCACAACGGGCCACAGGGAATATTGCTAGCCTATCTCCAATATTCCCTTAAGGCCCACGGCTCTCAAGTCAGTTTGTGATGAATACTGCCTGGTCCGGGACTCACCCTTCAGGGCAGTGGAAGAGCCATTAAATCTTAAGTGACAAATGGATATGAACAATTTTTCATGTGTCCACCATCTAGAACAAAACATGTATTTACACTCTACAGATTTTCCTTTGCTAGTATCATAAGTAGAAAAATTAAGAATCTTATTCCCATATTTAGTGTGTTTATATGTGTTATCATTTATGCATATAATGCAAACAGAAACTACTGCATATAGCAAATTTTAAATTTCTAAGTTTCATTTCACAAATAAGCCACGGATTAACTAATGCTTTTTAAATACTGTCTTTGGATTACTATGTTATGAAAATGTCTTGTGGAACTACTGAGAATTTAGTATCTGTCTCATCATGTAATCACCTATTTTTAAATTGTCACAATTTATTTTGTTGTAAATACTGCTGATTTAATGGTATATTTGAAACACTGGGCATGTATGGAACATACTCTGGAGACCTGTTCCTGTCTCTGGCAATAACGGGCCCTCAAGATTAACCAGTGTAGTCATGTTGACATGAGCACATTAGAAAAATCCCTCTGCTGCCTCCACTACTGACCCCATATTCTCAACATATCTGTAATCCTCAAGTAATTCACTTCTCAAGAACTCAATTCCTTGCATGGCTGGAGCTCTGGCCAGGGACTGATAAAGCTGGAAAATGACCAGTGAAAAAAAAGCAAAAAACAATTCCTTCCAGAATGTAACCAGTTTCTTAATCGTATAAGTGTGTGTGTGTGTGTGTGTGTGTATAATAGCTGTTATTATATATATATAATAGCTGTTATTATATATATAATAGCTGTTATTATATATATATACATTTTATAGCTGTTTCCTGATTCTTTTCTATGTTATTCATATACAGTCTGAAGTTCACATTATGCACATTTTAATAAAAGTATATGAGCTGAGTCTAATGAAAAATTTTTATATGTGTCCTATACACCTGTATTTGCAGCTAAGTATTATTTTTGTTTTTCAAACCATGTCATCGTACCAGTTAATGTGCAATTTGTTAATCAGAGAGATTTTTTCCACCTTTTTTCATATTTTCTCTGAAATGATCCTTGTTTTACAAAAGGAATATTATGAACTTTCTAAATTAAAATGTATATATAAATCTTGCTAGACTGGGTGTGGCCAACATACAATGTGTAGTCTGAATTCCTTAGCTGCCTTATGGTCTACTATAGTTACTTTTCACAGGTGGCATTAGATCTTTCTAGTGCAGGTCTCATAGCAACACAGTAGGTAGTAACCTATGACATATTCTTAAGATCTTTTATATTGCGTATAAGCCTTGGCTTGCTTAATAAAACGAATAAATTCCATTTTCTATATCTTTAAATTTCTTCTGCATCTTAGCAACTGTATCTTAATAATTTTGTCTGTTTTCTTTGGGCATAGAAGTCTTAATGGTATTATCCTGATTCAATCAATCAGCACTTGAACACTAACTATAAGAAAGATGTGAGCTAGGATTTCCAATTAAATGCTATAGCATTAATAAGAACTGTTTTTTCAAAACTCAAAGCTTTGCAGTCTTATACAAGCATGTATCCAGAGGAAGCAACCCTACCACTTAAAGGAAGCTATATTCTTATGTGAAAATTTTTGACTATCAAATAATATCAAAATAATGTGATCTTGGAGGGCACCCATCTTGACTTTCTTCTATTAGAGAATAAGAAATCAAGTCTTAGGAGAAAAAAGTGGGTTACACCAAACAATACTAAGAGATAGTGGCAAAATAATAGAAATGTGTTTTCCTAATTCTGGGTTGCGTGCTGTTTTTACCTTACTACCCTGCATCTCTTTGACTCAGTGGGGTTATGCTTGGTGGCAAACCAAGCATAAAATTTTTATTGTCTTTCTCACAGCACGGCACTCATTTTGGGTGGGGAGGGGCAATATGCAGATACTATTTTAGACTTTTTAAAATATTATTTTAAAATGGCAACAATGTATAGCCTATTACATAAAAAATGTCATAAGTTGGTAATATAATTTAATCATTCATGCATCCACAAGCCATTTATTAAGTTCCTGATCTGGTCCAGTAGTGCCAGGCTCTGGGGACACAAAGATGAAAAAGACTTGCTTTCCTGTTTTCTATGAGCTTATGGTCCAGTGGCAGTTAGAGGACATTAAGCTTAAGACTACAAAATAGAAACAAGTGCTAAAACAGAGATATATTGTGTATCCAAATAAAAGGTCCATATAACCCAGCTTGAGAAAGCTGTGGAGCAAGCTGGTGACAGAGCATTTGTCGTGAACCATGACAGATGAATGGGGATGTGTCGCATGAAGAAGGAGAAGGTGATAAGAGCAATTTTATCCTTCTTATTGCTCAGAACACACACCCTGGAGACAAGAGGGATTCTGTAAATGGAAATAAAGGATCTGGATGAGTCAGAAATGGAAAGGTCTGGAATAGTGGGCTATAAGATTGCAGCATAGGTTGAAAGGTCTAGCACACGATCGTAGGCGTGGGTGTAGAAAACTTGTGGAGATAAAAGATTACTTCATATTTTAAAAATCATTTCTTCAAACTCAAGAACATCTTCAATATGCATTTATTGAAAAGATATATCTAGTTGCTCATAATATGCTTACCATTTATCTGAGTTCTAGAGGTACGGCAATGAGCACGATATAAAATCCATCATCTCAGGCAACTTACAGTCTAGTTTCAAACATGGGAAGCAGAAAACAAACAAATATCTAACACGTTTATTTTACTTACTTATATCTTCTGTGAAAAAAAGCTTGGTAAGTGGAAGGAGAATGATTGAGGAGTGAGAGAGACCATTTCAGGCAGATTGGTAAGGGAGATCCTAATATTTGAGCAAATTTCGGAATGATATGAAGATCAATGGGAAGAGTAATCTAAGATGAACTAATGGCAAATGGAAAGGCCATGAAGCAGGAATAATCTGGCAGATTATTTTGCCAGAATACAATAAAGAGAGAAAAGAGTAGGAAATGATATAAGACAAAAAGGCAGGGAACAGATATTGTAGTTTCTTGTAAGGCATATTAAAGTCTTCAGATTTTATCTTACATGTTATGGAAAGCCACAGCAGAGATTTAAGCAGTAGTGTGACTTGAATGATTTATGCTTTTAGTTGTAATTGTGGCTCATGTGTGGTCAATAATTAGTAGCAGGGCAAGAGTGGAAGCACAGAGATGACTTGTAAACTACTACTTTAGCTAATGGGAGATGGTCACTTAGACTTTGGATGGTGGCAGTGGAGGTGACAGAGAAGTGGAAATACATTAAAAAATATAATTTGTTTTAAATATTTTAAAATAGACTTTAAATCTATCATGTAAAGATACAGCCAGAAAGATCTGGTCATGTTTTGGATGAGACCTATCAGGGGGAAAAAAAAATGAAACAAGGATTATTGTGAGAATTTTGGACTGAATATTTATCCAGGCAAATGATGGTACCATTTACTGAGGTGGGAGAAATTGTGGGAAATAGAAGAGCCAATAAAGAGACCAAGACTAGGTAGACCAGGAGGCGGGAGGAAAATCAGAGAAAGCCACATGATCAGTTTCAACAGAAAGAGAGTCATCAACGGACTTAAGTGGTATTTCAATGTTAAGTAAAATGAGGACTAAATTAATTATTGAATTTATCGAAAGTATGGGTAATATGATCTTTCCAAGAGGGTTTCCATGGTCTGATGTGAAAGAAAGACTGATTATATCAGTCTCGAAGGGAGAGTAGGAAGAAAAAAAAACGATTTTTCTTTCAAGCCATTTTCTTTCATCAAAAGTGATGGCGTTTTCTATTTTTAAAAGGGCAATCATTACAATGTATTTGTATGCTGATAAGAATGATCCAATAAAGATGGATTTGCCAATAATATTTGTCAATTATGGCTTCACAAGAGAACTGTGCCTATGGTTTGTTGAATTTACATTGTACTGCCTCAGTTATATTATATATTCTGATTATCGTAATATACAAATTATATCTTCTTGCATTCTTTTTTTTTAACAGTTTTTTTTGAGACAGGTTCTCACTATGTTGCCTAGGCTGGTTTTGAACTCCTCCTGCCTCAGCCACCCAACGTGCTGGGATTACAGGCATGAACCACAATGCCTGGCCAATTTTTTGGTGGAGATGTAGTCTTTTTTTTTTTTTTTTTTTTTTTTTTTTTTTTTGAGACAGGGTCTCGCTCCTCTCCGTCACCCAAGCTGGAGTGGCTGGAGTGCAGTGGCATGATTATAGCTCACTGCAGCATCAACCTCCCAGGCTCAAGTGATCCTTCCACTTCAGCCTCCCAAGTAGCTAAGACTGCAGGTGTGCACTACTAAATCAGGCTTTTTTCTTTTCTTTTTTTTTTTTTTGATAAAGATGGGTGTCTCCCTATGTTGCCTAGGCTGCTCTTGAATTCCTAGGTTCAAGCAATCCTTATACCTTGGCCTCCCAAGTTACTGAGACTACAGTTATAAGCCATCACATGTGGCTTGAATTCTTAATTTTAGAAACTTGAGTTATTCAAGTTTGGTTTATACTTGGAGTGTTTAGACTAAGATAGTTTAATGTTAAAAATTAATGCAACATAGTACATTAAGAAAAGGCACCAGAAATAATAAAGAATAATTTCAATAAAATGAGCTATATAGGAATAAATTGTAATTCCCCTATATATGTGTAAAAGAGTAAAAGAACTTCATTATAATAGAAGGTTCAAAGAATTAGTCACAAAATATTAGAATCTTTTTTTTTCATCAGAAAGAGAAATGCTTATAATCACTGTTTCTAGTCAACATTATGTTGGGGTCTTAGTCATTAGAAAAAGAAAGTAAAACATAATAATAATAATCATTATCATTATCCTAAGAATTGTAGAGAAGATGGGGAGCTGATAAATTTTCAAACCTGTTAGAAAAGTCTACAGCTTAAAAAAGATTATTCAATATAAGAACAATATACAAAAATCAATTATATTTCCAATAATAACTAATGAGAAAATACAATATTTTAAAAATAGAATTTATGATGTAATAAAACAAAATCTCACAAAATATATGCAAGAACTTATTGGGAGAAATTTAAAACTTTAATGAATAATATTAAAGAAGAATCACATAAAGGAATATTCCATATTCAAAGACTGGAAGAATCAATAACTTAGTATATAAATTAATTCCATTTTCAATCATAATCCCAATAATTTGTGTGTGTATATAAATGTAATTGAGCAACTGGTGGAAAAAATTTGTATTTAAGAGCCAAGGTCTAAGAATAGCCAAGACATTGTTGAAGAACAATGCAGAGACAATTGGCCTATCAAGAATCATGATTAAAGCAGGTTTGGTACAGGCACAGCCAATTAAAATAATGCAACAAATTTTTAAAAACTTAAAGCAAAGTCTGTGTATATATGTAAACTTGACATAAATGCAACCTGTTGTCAGATATTTATGAGAAATTTAAAATTGTTTATTCATATTGAAAAAATAAAATTAGATCCCTGTCTTTAACCCTACATAAAAATTGTTCCAGATGGATTCAAGGCCTAATGAAACACAGACCTTCAAAATCCATAGAGGAAAGCACAAAATAACATTTCTATTATTTCTTTTTTTATTGGAAACGGAGTCTCACTCTGTTGCCCAGGCTGGAGTGTAGTAGCGAGATTTTGGCTCATTGCAACCTCTGCCTCCTGGGTTCAAGCGATTCTCCTGTCTCTGCCTCCCAAGTAGCTGGGATTATGGGTGCCCACCACCATGCCTGGCTAATTTTTTGTATTTTTAGTAGAGACGGGGTTTCATCATGTTGGCCAGGCTGGTCTCGAACTCCTGACCTCAGATTCCCAAAGTGCCCACCTCGGCCTCCCAAAGTGCTGGGATTATAGACATGAGCCACTGCATCCGGCTTTTTCTATTATTTCTTAAAGAAAGTGTAAGAAAAGCACTCTAATGGGAGAAATGGGTACATATGGTTTTGTTAAAATTCAGCTCTCTTCTTCATCGACATGCCATAAAGAATGTGAAATTTTAGGCCACTGAGTAGAAGAGATAATTGTAAGATATATGTCTAACAAATATTAGTATCCAGCTACATAAAGAACTTCTACAAGTAGTTAACAGAAACGGAAATAACGCAAAAGAAAAATAGGCAAGAAACATAGACCAGTAATTTACAAATGGGTAAACCACATGGTTAATCAACTCAGGGAGATGCACATCTTCACAGTAACCAGGGAAATACAAAGAAGAACTACAATGAGGTTTTATTTTATGTTTGTCAGGTTGGCAAATACTTAAAAATGTGGCTGTATCCAGAGTTCTTGAGGATATGAACACCTATACCCTGATTCTTGGAGCTATTTTGGAAAATAATTTGGAATAAAAAGTAAATATGAAGATGAGAATATCCCATAATAATAATTATTTCTAGTTATATATCCTAAAGGAATTCTTGAACATTAAATATTTTGTAAATATTGTTTGCAATAGTAAATAAAAACAACATAAAAGGCCAGCCGACAAGAGTGGAAAATAAGTTGAGCTATGGTTATACAATTGTTATAAAATATTTGAAAATAAAACAATTAGAAGTATATTTATGAAACATGAGTGAATTTCAAAATCAGAACATTGAGTAGAAAATGCAAGTAAGAGGAGCATTTAATGCATGATGTCACTTTTGTAAAGTTTAAGAACACAGATATCAATAAAATATTCTAAGAGTTGAGAAAGGAGAGTAGAATTAGAAAATGACATAAGCTTGACTGGGTGTGGTGGATCACGCCTGTAATTCCTGCACTTTGGGAGGCCAAGGCGGGCAGATTGCCTGAGCTCAGGAATTTGAGACCAGCCTGGCCAACATAGTGAAACTCAGCCTCTACTAAAAATACAAAAATTAGCCAGGCATGGTGGTGCATGCCTGTAATCCCAGCTACTTAAGAGGCTGAGGCAGGAGAATCGCTTGGACCTGGGAGGCAGAGGTTGTGGTGAGCCGAGATCAGGCCACTGCACTCTAGCCTGGGCAACAGAAAGACTCCGTCTCAGAAAAAAAAAAAAAAAAAGAAAGAAAATTACATAAGCTTTAATTTTATATTTGAAATTATATTTCTTAATTTGGCTATTGGAAACAAACATGAAATATTCCATATGAAAGCAAGATGTATCTTATTTCAGGTAAACTTTATATAAACATTCAGATTTATAAAAGAAACTAACAAATACTGGTCATTTTATAAGAGCTATGTGTACTTTCCTGAATAACTTACAAAATAATTTCTTAGTTACAATGTCTAGTTATTTAAAGTATTAACTAACTTCTACAAAATTGTTTAGAAAACATTCAGGCAAAAAGACTCAACATAATGTTAGATTATGATGCAGTGTTTTTTAGTCATTTGTAAGAGGATCCATTTGAAACTTTCATCTGTCTTCCCGGTGGATAAGTTGAAGACCATATATTTATAGATAGTTTTGTTTAGAAGATCAATAATTATGATCTCCCTGACATAACTTATTAAAAATTGGCTGTCATTGTCTTTTTTCACCCCAAATATGCAATATATGAGAAACACTTCATGCATTTTTGTAAGCCTAGACTCTGATAGGAAAGGCATCTCACCACAGCACGCTGTGGTAGTTTGAGGCATTCCATAATGCCAGCTATGTATGCAGTTCAGGTAGCATCAGCAGCTTTAATCATGTGTAGAGAAATAAGGTATGTAAAGCAGATGGAACTCTGTAGGGAACACTGAGGAAATGAGCTCAAAGTGCAGATTATGTTCTGCAGGTGGTGGAAAATAGTGATTATTTTTAAGCTCACAATTACAGCCCAAAGATGGATGACAGATGAAGCACTGTGAACAAGTATAAATAATGACAGACCATTCTCACCCACATGAAGAACAATTTGGAGCTCATATGTGTCTTTTTTTGTAGGAAAGCATTAGCCATTTTCTAGGAAGAAGGATATCCGTTAATGTTTTTATTCCATTGTAGAGATGTTAAAATCCTTTTAAAATACAGCTAGAGTTACTGACTACATTTACATCGATACTTAGACAAGCTAATCTTCCCTTTCCTTTTTCACTCACACTGGGTAGGGATGTGGTTTATGTGCATTTGCTAGTCAAGAATTCATCTGTGTGGCAATAAGGAGTCTTCTAACCTGTGTAGCAAGGAGATGTTACTCTTTGATTCTTGTTGCTTGTAACAGTAATTAGATTTTGATCTTGAATTCAAACTTGGAGGCTAAGTAAATGTCATCTTGGATCCATGACTGACCATTCCTGAGGAACCTTAAAGAGAACGCTCCCTGTTATTTAAGGATACTTCATAACGTATTGCTTGCTCTTCATTAAAAAAAAAATCACTCCTAATATCTACTACACCACACTGACCTAACTGTGGTTCAAATATGCTAAATGGGCCAGGCGTGGTGGCTCATGCTTGTAATCCCAGCACTCTGGGAGGCTGAGGTGGGCAGATCACTTGAGCTCAGGAGTTTGAGACCAGCCTGGGCAACACGGCAAAACTCTGTCTCCACCAAAAATACAAAAAATTAGCTGGGCATGATGACGTGCACCTGTGATCCTAGCTACTTGGGAGGCTGAGGTGGGAGAATCGCTTGAGCCCAGGAAGTAGAGGCTGCAGTGAACCAAGATCATGCCACTGCACTCCAGCCCAGGCAACAGAGCTAGACTCTATCTCAAAACAAACCAACCAACAAACAAACATGCCAGATGCTCCTGTTTTAGGACGTTTGCCTGGGCTGTTTCCTCTGACTAGAAGATGCTTCCCCTAAAACTCCCCTGGGCTAGCTCTCTCATCTCTGTTTGGCCTCTATTCACAGGGCACGTCCTCACTGAGGCCCACCCAACTGTCCTGTTTAAACATATAACCCACTCTGCATTTTACCTTTGAGGGAACTAAGAAAATACCACCCCAAAATGTGCCACTGTGGCATGCTGGTTGCTTCAAACTGAGGGCACCTGGAGAACAGCAAATGCAGTGAGGAGCTTTTTCTGAGCTCCCATTACCGGCCTTAGGAAGGATCCTTCAAAAGGAACTCAATTGTCAAGAAATCTTTGCCCCAGTAATCTCACCAACCAGAGAAGAAAACTTGGATCACAAGAGACAAAAAGAAACAAACAAACAAAGAAAAAAAACCACTTGAAAACTACAACACCCTTAAACTTTACTCAGAATATTTAAGTGGAAAAAGTTGACGGGTCTGTACAATTTTACAATATTGCCTAGGATTTCATACAGAAAATCAATTATTTACATTATAACATGCTTTAGTTGTAAATCCGTGTTTATATTACAATTGCATAGCTTCAATTTCAACATGTATAATGTAAATTTAAAGTTTTTATAAAGGCAACTATAGTAAATTTAAATAATGACTAATTTAGCTTTACAATTTGCTCTGAGGGGAAAAACACACTGATTGTCCTCACCCTTCACACCAGTACCACCACCACGACAACAAAAAACAAGAGGGGAGCCTGGAGGTGAACCCTGCACTCAGACTATCCCCTATGCTCTGGGCCATTTGTCTTTCCCCGAATTTATTTACTCTCCCCTAAATTTTGACTATATCCACTCTACCTTCTTCCCTGGGAAGAAGGTATATAAGCTTCAAAATCTCACTGGCCTTTTGGGTGTTCAGGTTTCTCTCCAGTGATGTCCTCCTGTAGGTAACAAATTTGTGTGTCTTTTCTCCTGTTCATCTGCCTCCCTTCAGATTATTTCGTACACTCACTCATCAAACCCTCAGAGGATAAAGGAAAGTCTTCCCACCCCTACATCACCTCTATTTTTTCCTATAGCACACATCACCTTCTGACAGTCAACAATTTCCTCCTTTGTGATGTTTATTTTGTATTGTCTGTCTCCCCCACAACCTTAATTAATTAATTAATTAATTAATTGAGACAGAGTCTCGCTCTGTCACCCAGGCTGGAGTGCAGTGGTGTGATCTTGGCTCACTGCAAGTTCCGCCTCCCAGGTTCACACCATTCTCCCGCCTCAGCCTCCTGAGTAGCTGGGACTACAGGCACCCGCCACCATGCCTGGCTAATTTTTTGTATTTTTAGTGGAGACGGGGTTTCACCATGTTAGCCAGGATGCTCTCAATCTCCTGACCTCGTGGTCCGCCCACCTCGGCCTCCCAAAGTGCTGGGATTACAGGCGTGAGCCACCGCGCCCGGCCCACCACCTTCTTAAAGGGCAATAAACTCCAGGATGTCAGAGAAGTTTGTTTGTTTGTTTGTTTTAACTTTTGCAGATTTTATATATTGATGAATCTCTGCTACCCAGAACAGTGCCCATTAGTCTACAGAAGTTCAATAAATATTATGCCTGTCAGGCCTCTGAGCACAAGCTAAGCCATCATATCACCTGTGACCTGCACGTATACATCCAGATGGCCTGAAGTAACTGAAGAATCACAAAAGAAGTGAAAATGGCCGGTTCCTGCCTTAACCGATGCCATTACCTTGTGAAATTCCTTCTCCTGGCTCAGAAGCTCCCCGACTGAGCACCTTTTGACCCCCGCCCCTGCCTGCCAGAGAACAACCCCCTTTGACTGTAATTTTCCACTACCTACCCAAATCCTATAAAACGGCCCCACCCCTATCTCCCTTTGCTGACTCTCTTTTCGGACTCAGCCCGCCTGCACCCGGGTGAAATAAACAGCCTTGCTGCTCACACAAAGCCTGTTTGGTGGTCTCTTCACACAGACACGCGTGACAGTGCTGATAATACTCCTTAACCCTTTCTTCATTTTGTTTTCCAACAGATATCTCTCATTATCATCAATGATGATTCCTATAAAACATCCATTTGAAATGTAGTTGATGGCCAGGTGTGGTGGCTGATACCTATTATCCCAGCTCTTTGGGAGGCTGAGGCAGGAGGATTGCTTGAACCCAGGAGCTTGAGACCAGCCTGGGAAACACGGTGAGACTCTGTCTTTCCAAAAAGTAAAATAAAATAAATAATAAAATGTAGTTCATGGGGTTATAGATCCTACCAGATAGCTCTGTAACAGTAAGTTTAAAAAAAACACTTAGAAAATTTTTACAGGTAAAACAATAAAAGTAATATTTGAAATTATAGACCCCTGTGGAATTTGACCTTTACTTACAATATTTATAAGATACTAAACTGCAAAGACTTTTCACAGAGCAACATAAAAGTATGTGTAAGGTGCAAGGTACTTCTTAAAACCATTGTGTTTTTTTTTTTTTCTGAGATGAACAGTAAGATAATAATTATTCTATGGTAAGTGTACACACTGTCTCCTTATAGGGCAAGCAGAGTCGTGAGCATGGGAGCTTCCATTTATTGAACAATGTGCTTTATTCCAAGCACTGTTCTAGGCCTTAAGCACGTGAAGATGAATAACAAATTTTATGCCACCAAAGCTAGTGGGAAGAAGATACACAAAATAAGTAATTATGGTCCAACCTAAAAATGTAAACGTTCATTTTCAGGCACCTGCTAGGGTCATCTAAATAATGAGAGGCAGCATATAAATAATAAACACATTTATAACCTACAACAAATTATTTATGCAATATTTTAAAAAATTCTTTAGTGTTTAACTTTGTAAAATTTTTATTATTGTTGGGGAATTTTATTTTCAGTTAGCAGTTAGTTTAAACTTAAGTTGTACCAGGCTAACCTGAGAGATTATGCTCTTTCTGACACCGTTACCTGAAAAGCTTTGATGCAGCAGAAAATATACAATTGAAAAGGACAGGAGGATTCCCTATTAACAGGCTAAAGTCACCTAAGATGGCGCTGCCTTTCATGTTGACCCTAGTTCACATCACAGTCTGTGTCTTCAAACATGGGAAGATTAAACACATCCAAGCAATTTACATCCTTGGGGGCACTGCGGGCTGTGTTATATGTGACTTTCCCTTGACGGGGTTGTGACCCTTTCTCATTGCTTCCAACCCAGGAAAAAGACTTAATTAAAGACTCTTTGATGAGACAAAAGATATTATTTACATTAGAAAGAAGAGAGAGAGAGAGAGAGAGAAAGGAAGAGAGACAGAGAGAAAGAGAAAGAGAAAGGAAGGAAATGTTGGGCCTCACAAAACAATACCCCACAGTGTGGTGCCTTGGGATGCTGAGTGCCTTGAACTAAAGGTGAACCAAAGTCTCTCTGATCTTCTGTCCCGTTTCTTGACCCCTTCTCCCAGAAGGGCAGGGAGGGGCTTTCTCTGAACTTCCCTTGGAAGAAAATTCCCAAATAATCAGTCCCTGGAAGTATTTAATTTTCCTCATTGACTCAGTCTCTAGTCACTGCAGCAGCCCCCATTGTGAGGAGCCTTAGCAACACAGTCCGACAGATCACTTTCCTTAGTGAGGATAATTAGCTAGAAATAGCTTTTTGGAGAAAGAAAACCTTGAAGATAGCACAGTTAACATATTCAAAGGGACTAAAATTGGTGTTCTCAACTTTAATTTTAACAAAAGTACAAATGCATTTGGTGATTTCACTCATTAAAAAAAAAATTCTCTGTGAGGCTTATCAAAATATTCAAGTGCCTCTAAATCCAGCAAATTCTGCCCCCATGCAGGACACTGCCACTCTGCTTTTGCTTAGTCCCTTAGGTCTCAGCTTCAAAGCACTTGTCAGAAAATACCAATCACTTCCCAAAACCGCAATGCAAGGCCAAGCGCAGATCAGCTGTCCATTTCCGTATGCTTCCCTAACAACCTATGTTTATGTCTGTGTTTGCATTTATCACAGTGTCTCTGTAACATATTTGTTGTAGCCACTACTCTGTTAAGGTCCCTATGGGTGCCATTTTCACTGTTTAATCCTTATTCCCTTACAGGTTATCTGGTATTGGTACTCTAGTGGTCAATAAATACTTGCTGAGTTAATGAAATAAAATTAAGAATAAAAGATGTAAAGGTGCCCTGCTCAGCCATCTGGTCACCTGAAACCCAAATAGACATAGATAGTTTAATGCTTAAATAGGATAAATCATCATTTTTGCCAAATGCTAAGCTAGCAAATCTCTGATTTCGGAATTAAAAAGATTTCAGCAGATCCTCCAAGGGGAAACGTTCAAGAAAATAAATCCGTTCCTTAGCACTTCACAGGAAGGCAATAAAGTGACTATCAAAATTATCTTGTTTGTCATTTGCTTTTTCAGTATGCTGGCAACACTAAGGTGATTCATTTATGGTAAGTGATGATTATTTCTGTAGCCTAAAACATTACCACCCTTACTTAGGTAAGTGAGAAAGTAAAGCTTCTGAGTTTCTATTATTATTATTGTGAAATAAAGTACTTTTTGAATTGTGCTAGAAAAAGTCATCTAAGACTTGGAAATGGGCATAGGGATGTACTGTACGAACAGCTTAGTGAACGGTGAACAGGCTGTTTTTTTTGGTTTGCTTGCCTGGGGGTTACCTGAACCGTTGTTAGACTTGCTACTCACTATTATGGGAACAACAATCACAGGAGGCTCATGTTATTTACATTAGAAAGAAGAGACACACAAACACACACACACACAGAGAGAGAGAAAGAGAGAGAGAGAGAAGGGAAGAGGGACAGAGAGAAAGAGAAATAAAGGAGGTGCTGGGGTCCACAAAACAATACCCCAAAATATGATGCTTTGATATCCTGAGTGCCTTGAACTGAAGGAGAACCAAGTTCTCTCTGCTCTTCTGTTCCGTTTCTTGCCCCTCTTTCTCCCCCAAAAGCGCAGGGAGAACCTTTTTCTGAACTTTCCCTTTCTAATGAAGGGCAGGTCCTCTGAAAGAAACACATTTGTCATGAATTGTCTCTCTGGGAATCTCATCAACTAGGGAAGATGGATTTATATCACAAGAAGGGCGGACACCATGCCCAGATTGTGACTCAGACTCGCACCTATTCTTCTGAGGGCTGCTTGAAGACAACTTTTATTACCAGAGAGACTTTATCTGCATGACAAGGTAACCTTTGCTCGACATGCATTTCCTTTCCTCACCTCACATAATTTGTGTCACCACCACCCTTAGAAGCCTCAGGCCCCTATTCCTTTCTGTAGCTCAGGATGTTATATAAGCTTCAGTCATCGAACACATTTTCCAGTCCCATATTTTGTGGGACTCCATGCATTTGCAGTAATTAAAATTTCTGTTTCATGTTAATGTGTCTACTGTCAGTTGATTTCATAGGCTCAATTATCAAAAATTCAGAGGGTAGAAAGTTTTTTCATCCCTATAGAAGGAAGGAAAAAAAAGAAATGGACAATGATCAAAATAATTAATGCTAAATGATCTAATACAGTCTAGAGGCAGTAGGTATAGTAGGAAACGATGCACTTGAGGTCAGATGATTTGGGGATTAAATCTGCTACTTTGCACTATGAACTTGGACAAATCACTTGAAATATCAAGGCCTTAGTTTCCTGAGGTAAAAATGGAGTATCAGACAAAATGGGCTAGGTCATTTTCATCTCTAAAAGCTGAAAATGTCATTTATTCATTGATATTTGTTTCAGAAGCATTTATTGAAGACTATTATGGGAATAATATGATGTCTATTGCAACCTATGTGCAGTGAGCAGATCTGAATTCCAAAGAACACATTATTGAAGGCCTCAGAGTGAGCCACACATGAGGGTGGTTTTCAGAGTTTGCCTGTGTTGCTCTCCACAACATAATGCAGGTGCATTCCAAGTACACAACATGACCCCCTTGTCTAAATTTCAGAAGTGCCAGAGTTGCTGGATTGGTTGGTTCCATTATTTACCCTCTGATAGTACTGCTAGAGTGGCATCTCCCCTTCTAAAACAACAGAGTTTCCACAGAGGTAAATGAATTATGCTTCCTATTCCAAATGAAGAGCAGAGAAGCAAAGTGGGTGGGGCAGAGAAGTAGCAGGCTCCAGATGTGGGGCAAGAGATTAGCTGAGAACAACCTGTTTTATCCCAAAGGAAGAAACAGCAGACAACGAAGGTCATGTCATAAATATTTAAAAACCAACTGGAAGGTACACCCACTGGCTGAACATGGGACAATGTGATCATGAATAAGAGTAACAATTGCAATAGACTGTTTTTTTCTTGTAAATTTGTTTGAGTTCTTTGTAGATTCTGGATATTAGCCCTTTGTCAGATGAGTAGGTTGTGAAAATTTTCTCCCATTTTGTAGGTTGCCTGTTCACTCTCATGGTAGTTTCTTTTGCTGTGCAGAAGCTCTTTAGTTTAATTAGATCCCATTTGTCAATTTTGGCTTTTGTTGCCATTGCTTTTGGTGTTTTAGACATGAAGTCCTTGCCCACGCCTATGTCCTGAATGGTAATGCCTAGGTTTTCTTCTAGGGTTTTTATGGTTTTTAGGTCTAACGTTTAAGTCTTTAATCCATCTTGAATTAATTTTTGTATAAGGTGTAAGGAAGGGATCCAATTTCAGCTTCCTACATATGGCTAGCCAGTTTTCCCAGCACCATTTATTAAATAGGGAATCCTTTCCCCATTGCTTGTTTTTCTCAGGTTTGTCAAAGATCAGATAGTTGTAGATATGCGGCGTTATTTCTGAGGGCTCTGTTCTGTTCCATTGATCTATATCTCTGTTTTAGTACCAGTACCATGCTGTTTTGGTTACTGTAGCCTTGTAGTATAGTTTGAAGTCAGGTAGCATGATGCCTCCAGCTTTGTTCTTTTGGCTTAGGATTGACTTGGTGATGTGGGCTCTTTTTTGGTTCCATATGAACTTTAAAGTAGTTTTTTCCAATTCTGTGAAGAAAGTCATTGGTAGCTTGATGGGGATGGCATTGAATCTATAAATTAGCTTGGGCAGTATGGCCATTTTCACGATATTGATTCTTCCTACCCATGAGCATGGAATGTTCTTCCATTTGTTTGTATCTTCTTTTATTTCATTGAGCAGTGGTTTGTAGTTCTCCTTGAAGAGGTCCTTCACTTCCCTTGTAAGTTGGATTCCCAGGTATTTTATTCTCTTTGAAGCAATTGTGAATGGGAGTTCACTCATGATTTGGCTCTCTGTTTGTCTGTTATTGGTGTATAAGAATGCTTGTGATTTTTGTACATTGATTTTGTATCCTGAGACTTTGCTGAACTCAAACAAATTTACAAGAAAAAAACAAACAACCCCATCAACAAGTGGGCAAAGGATATAAACAGACACTTCTCAAAAGAAGACATTTATGCAGCCAAAAAACACATGAAAAAATGCTCATCATCACTGGCCATCAGAGAAATGCAAATCAAAACCACAGTGAGATACCATCTCACACCAGTTAGAATGGCAATCATTAAAAAGTCAGGAAACAACAGGTGCTGGAGAGGATGTGGAGAAATAGAAACACTTTTACACTGTTGGTGGGACTGTAAACTAGTTCAACCATTGTGGAAGTCAGTGTGGCGATTCCTCAGGGATCTAGAACTAGAAATACCATTTGACCCTGCCATCCCATTACTGGGTATATACCCAAAGGACTATAAATCATGCTGCTACATACATGCACATGTACGTTTATTGCAGCACTATTCACAATAGCAAAGACTTGGAACCAACCCAAATGTCCAACAATGATAGACTGGATTAAGAAAATGTGGCACATATACACCATGGAATACTATGCAGCCATAAAAAATGATGAGTTCATGTCCTTTGTAGGGGCATGGATGAAATTGGAAATCATCATTCTCAGTAAACTATCACAAAGACAAAAAACCAAGCACTGCGCATTCTCACTCATAGGTGGGAATTGAACAATGAGAATACATGGACACAGGAAGGGGAACATCACACTCTGGGGCCTGTTGTGGGGTGGGGGGAGTGGGGAGGGATAGCATTAGGAGATATACCTAATGTTAAATGACGAGTTAATGGGTGCAGCACACCAGCATGGCACATGTATACATATGTAACTAACCTGCACATTATGCACATGTACCCTAAAACTTAAAGTATTAAAAAAAAAAAAGATGTAGGATGAACTGATGAATGTAAAATATCCCATTAATAAACTTTTATATTAATTGCCCATTGATGTGGTAATATTTTGGATATATTGGGTTAAATAAAATATGTTCTTAAAGTAAAAAAAAAAAAAAAATAGACTGAAGTACATAATGCCTAATAAACAAACATTAGGTTTCATTGATTGCCTTTGGAGAATACTAGAAAACAAATTTATTTTGAAATCTTATTAAAGAAAAAAATAAACACTTGTCCTATAATTCCTATAAAAATGCAGGATAATCATCTAGTTCAACAGGTAGCATTTTTTTTTAAGGGATAAATACCCCAACTGTATGAAGAACATCATGATTTTGCAACTGCTAATAATTACACTAATGGTCATCCATGGCTGCTAACACCACAAAAGAACGACAAGTAGACATTTGGACCTCTTGATGGAAGGATACTGCAACAATTATAAAATATTATTAACAAACAAATACAACATAAATTTCCTCAAATCTCTAGACCATACCACTGGGAAGATATCAGTTAACAAGACTGTAGGAAACACCACAGGCGGAAGACTTACTTTCTTTTACAAATAAACTTAAAATAGGGGGAAGAGAAACAGAGAAAGAAAGAGAGACAGAAAAAGATTGAATCTAAAAATTAAGAGACTTAAGAAGTAGATCAACTAATCAGTTTGTAGGTTACAATTCAATCCGATTGTACATAAAAAAATTACAGGACAATTAGGGAAATGTAAACACTGGATATTTAAAGACATTAAGAAATTTGTATTAATTGTTTCTAGATATGTTACTATGATGGTGTGTATATATATATATATATATATATATATATATTTTTTTTTAAGAGTCAATGTCTTTAAGAGATACATACTAAAATATACTTGTCAGGCCTCTGAGCCCAAGCTAAGCCATCATATCACCTGTGACCTGCACGTATACATCCAGATGGCCTGAAGTAACTGAAGAATCACAAAAGACGTGAAAATGGCCTGTTCATTCCTTAACTGATGACATTACCTTGTGAAATTCCTTCTCCTAGCTCATCCTGGCTCAAAAGCTCCCCCACTGAGCACCTTGTGTCCCCCACCCCTGCCCGCCAGAGAACAACCCCCTTTGACTGTAATTTTCCACTACCTACCCAAATCCTATAAAACGGCCCCACCCCATCTCCCTTTGCTGGCTCTTTTCAGACTCAGCCCGCCTGCACCCGGGTGAAATAAACAGCCTTGCTGCTCACACAAAGCCTGTTTGGTGGTCTCTTCACAGGGACGCCAGTGAAAATACTGATGTCTGGAATTTGCTTCAAAATAATTTCACAGGAGGGAGGAGACAGAGGTACAAATAAAACAACATTGGCTGTGAATGGAAACCTGTTGAGGCTGAGTAACGGGGACACAGGACTTTTACAGTGCTCTCTCCAATTTTGGATATGTTTGGAGGCTGATCACTCAGAAGAGAAAAAATCTACATTTCTAATAATGTTCAGGGGATTATTACAATTCATACTTATATTATGCCAGAAATTTAAATCTAATTTCTACCTCTAAATAAGAGAATGACTACCCTCATGTTATCACCATGACCTACATCACACTCATCAAATTTTTAGAAAATAGGAAATGATTACAGTAATCAATGTGCAATGATCAAATATAGTTTAGGGGTAGTGAATATTTATTTTAGGGACATAGTAGTAGGAGGGGGAAGGAAGAAAAGGAAAGGGAAGGTCAAAGGCAGGAGGAGAAGGGAAAGGAAAAAAAGGATATGAAACACAGTACCCTGCAGAATGTCCTCTATGCCAGAAAAGGTGGAGCAAAGGCAGACAACCAACAAGAGAGAGGGAACAAGACTTGGCAGAAATCAGAAAACAAATTCTGGCCCACCTCTTCTTGGCCCAGTCTTCCAGCTAAGAATGCTTTTCACAGGTTTAAATGGATGGGAAATCAAAGGAAGAATAATATTTCACAATACATGAAAATTATATAAAATGCACATGTCAGTGTCCATAAAGTTTTATTGGAACTTGGGCATGCTGATTTGTTTACAGGTTATCTCTGGCTGCCATTGCACTACAAAGGCAGAGTTGAATAGTTGTGGTAGAGACCGTGAGGCCCACAAAGCCTAATGTTACTAATATTATTTACCATCTGGCTCTTCAGAGGACATTTGCTGACCCCTCAACAAAAGTAACAAGCAAAAAAGCAAAAAGAGGAAGAAAAATACTTTTGCTCTGTAGAACTTTTAAGCCTCCTAGAATGAAACTGAGAAATGACAGTCAGTTCCATAGGAGTGATCAAGTTATGAGACAGATCAGTGGTGGATGAAAGAGGAGGATTTAACACGCCCATGACCAGGGTCTGTTCCAATTTCCTGCATGAGGAAAGCATGGTATTCTAAGCATAAAAGTACTTGACAACCATTTGTCATTTCTTGTTCAGGTATATTTAAATTCTGAAATGTAGTTATTTTATCAATTATTGTGAATAAGGTTGTTTTCAAATATTAAAAGCTTAAGAAACACTTAATGGTATTACCTGATATAACTGAATACAAGTGAACCCTCATACACTGCATTGAATAGTATCATCCCCAAATCATGTCCACCTGGAAACTGTGAATGTGATCTTATTTGGAAATAGCGTCTTTGCAGATGTAATCAAATTAAGATAACATGTTAGAGTAAGAATGAGCCTTAATCCAATGACTGGTATCCTCATAGGAAAAGGGGATCTGAACATGGACACACACATGGAGAATACCATGTGATGACAAGACAGAGACGGGAGGGATGCAGTGACATGCCAAAGAACTCAAGGATTGCAACCACCAGAAGCTGGAAGAGGCAAGGAAAGATTTTTTTCCCCAGAAACTTCAGAAAGAGCATGGCCCTGTGGACATCATTATTTCAGAATTCTGGCTCCCCAGAACTATGAGAGGATAAATTTCTGTTATTTTGTCACCTAGTTCATGGTATTTTTTTTTTTTTTTTTTTTTTTTGAGACAGAGTTTCACTCGTTGCCCAGGCTGGAGTGCAATGGTGCCATCTTGGCTTACCGCAACCTCCACCTCCTGGGTTAAAGTGATTCTCCTGCCTCAGCCTCCCGAGTAGCTGGGATTACACCATGCCGGCTAATTTTTTTTTTTAATTTTTATTTTATTTTTTTAGTAGAGACAGGGTTTCTCCATGTTGGTCACGCTGGTCACGAACTCCTGATCTCAGAGGATTGACCCACCTTGGCCTCCCAAACTGCTAGGATTACAGGTGTGAGCTACTGCTCTTGACCAATGGTACATTTTAATCTATCACTCAACTTTACACACCATGGAAGCGTTTAACCCCTGTTCTATGTTCTAGGCAAAAGACGGAAGCAGTGGAGAAGTTTTTACAACGTGGTCCTTATATATTGGGACAGTTTATTTTAGCCCAATGTATTAGTTCATTCTCGAGCTGCTAATGAAGACTTACCTGAGTCTGGGTAATTTATAAGGAAAGAGGTTTAACTGACTCACAGTTCAGCATGGCTGGGGAGGCCTCAGGAAACTTATAATCATCACAGAAGGGGAAGCAAACATGTCCTTCTCCACATGGTGGCAGGAGGGAGCAGTGCCAAGCAAAGGGGGAAAAGCCCCTTATAAAACCATCAGCTCTCATGAGAACTCACTCACTATCACAAGAATAGCATGAGGGTAACCGCCCCCATGATTCAATTAACTCCCACTAGGTACCTCCCATGACATGTGGAGATTATGGGAACTACAATTCAAGATGAGATTTGGGTGGGGACACAGCCAAACCATATCACCCAATGATAGCAGACATAAGAAAATATTCTTAGTAAGCTCACAGTGTAGGGCTTATGCACTGATAATCATAATCTCAGACATTTCAGAGGCTTACAAATGAGGATGCTGAATAGAAAGGCTGTAATTTCACCATAGAATACTATGCAGCCATAAAAAAGAATGAGTTCATGTCCTTTGCAGGGACATGGATGAAGCTGGAAACCATCATTCTCAGCAAACTAACACAGGAACAGAAAACCAAACACTGTATGTTCTCACTCGTAAGTGGGAGTTGAACAATGAGAACACATGGACACAGGGAAGGGAACATCACACACCAGGGCCTGTTGCGGGGTCGGGGGCAAGGGGAGAGACAGCATTAGGACAAATACCTAATACATGCGGGATTTAAAACCTAGATGACGAGTTGATAGGTACAACAAACCACCATGGCACATGTATACCTATGTAGCAAACCTGCACGTTCTGCACATGTATTCCAGAACTTAAAGTAGAAAAAAAAAAAAAGAAAGAAAGAAAGGCTGTAATTACAGGCAATGCCGAACTCAGAGGCCAAGTTCTTACAGAACCACAATTACCCCACAGGGGTTTGGCAGGTCTCTGGACTTTTGTTTTTCTATGCTGAAACCATTAATGATCTTAGAACTGCTCCTTCCCATTCCACATTCTAAGTGGTCCCAGCAACCCCAGTGTTTGCCTGACCTATTGCTGCTGGCAATGCCAGGATTGAAAGTACTGAGCATTGTTTCTGACCTACGCCCTTGGGAACTAAAGGGTGCGAATTGACTGGAGCAGGATATGGGTGGCTAGCAAAGAACCTGAAGCAGAACAAATGATCATATGATTGGATCCCCAGGACACACGTTTCCGAACTATCAGGAACTAACTTTGCAAATTTGAATTTCCCACTCTTACTCGCAACCAGCCCCAAGTGCTTTTTAAGAAAAGTGATGAAGGGGCTGAAGGATGGGGGATTTAGACATGTGAAAAAGCACTTCTCTGAGATGAGCTTGAGGTAGTTCCTATCTAACTCACATGTTATTGGTGGGAAATTCATTCATTCATTCATTCAATAAGCTGCTTACCATGGGCCCAGGTAATGGGGCTTGTTAGTGGTGAATAAAACAGACATGGACTTGACCTTCAAAGAATATCTTAAAAGATGAAACAGGGAAAGAGACTAAATAAGAATTCAATAGGATGGGTAATTTTCAGGAAATAAATAGATTTTAGTAAAAAATACCAACAGGAAGGATCTCCTTAGGGTGAACATGGACCGTGTCAAAACAATTGATATTTGAACTGGTCCTAAAAGATCAAAAAGTAAGTGATGGAGGATAAGGCTGGGTTGGGAGTGAGGGGCATGGGTAGGTGGGACAGGGGAAAGTTCTAGATAGAAGGAAGAGATGGTACAAATGTTACTGGAAAGGGATCCCAATCCAGACCCCAAGAGAGGATTCTTGGATCTCGCACAAGAAAGAACTCAGAGCAAGTCCATGGAGTAAAGTGAAAGCAATTTTATTAAGAAAGTAAAGGCATAAAAAAATGGCTACTCCATAGGGAGAGCAGCCCTGAGGGCTGATGGTTGCCCATTTTTATGGTTATTTCTTGATTATATGCTAAACAAGGGGTAGACTATTCATGAGTTTTCTGGGAAAGGGGTGGGCAATTCCCTGGAACTGAGGACTCCTCCCTTCTTTAGACCATATAGGGTAACTTCCTGACATTGCCATGGCATTTGTAAATTGTCATGACTCTGGAGGGAGCGTAGCAATGAAGACGACTAGAGGTCACTCCCATTGCATCTTGGTTTTGGTGGGTCTTGGCCAGCTTCTTTACTGCAACCTGTTTTATCAGCAAAGTCTTTATGACCTGTATCTTGTGCCAACCTCCTATTCCATCCTGTGACTTAGAATGCCTAAGGATGTCCAGGAATGCAGCTCAGTAGGTCTCAGCCTTATTTCACCCAGCTCTTATTCAAGATGGAGTTGCTCTGGTTTGAATGCCTCTGACACAAAGGTTGTAAGAGGAGAAACAACTTGGTGAGTTCCAGAAAAAACAAAAGGCTGAATGAATGAGATGGGGCTCAGGCTGAGGTTAGCAAGAAGCCATTCTGCACAAGGTTTGAGACCCCGAGAAGGAGTGTGGATACCTAACACAAAGAATGATAGGAAGCACCGACAGGTTTTAAGCAGGGAAGCAAAACAATCGAATTTCTGTTTTTAAAAGATCACTCTGTCTGTTACATGGAGAATGGATTGGGGTAGGTAGGGGTAGAAGATCTTGTAGCCCTGAATGGAGGTGACAGTAGCTACAATCAGGGTGATGGCAGTGGATGTAAGGTCAATAAGTTTAACATATATTTGACAGAAATTTAAAAAATAGAAGTTATTGGTGGGTTGGATATGGCAGGTAGTAAAAGAGAGTGAGAAAAAGAAAAGGAGAGAAAGAGAGACGAGTGTGTATGATGACTGCCAGTTTTTTGTCTAAATGAATAATGAAAGAACACATTTTCCTGGTGGAGGGATCAAAAGTTTCATTTTTAACAAGTCAGATTGGGGATGCCTGAGAGACAGTTAAATGCTGACGCCTGGTAAACAACAAGATATAAACATCTGGAGCTTAACAGATGTTGGAGCTGCAGCATGAAGACGGCATTTAGTGCCATGGAAATGGAAGAGATGACTGCCAAAAAAAACAAAAAATCAAAAACAAAAACAAAACATTTATACGTCAAGCAAAGAGAAGAAAGCCCAGGGTAAGGCCTCAGGAACTCCAACTTTTAGAGGTCACGGAGAGTCTTCAAAGGAGATGGAGGTCAGTGACATCTTGTAAGATTCTAAGTTAGACACAGTGTATCCTTACTGCATAGTCACCAACCTCTCTACTCCAGACTCAGCAACTACGATTTCTGAGGAGGGTCTCAGGACAGGTGGCAAGGTAGAAAGGTAAAAGTGCCACAACAATCGTTCAGGTAAAGTGCTGTGCACGCAAATGATCAAGTGCTAGCTGTAATTGGAAAAGCATTTTGAGAACTGAGATACGGCCGTAAGTTATTATGGAAAGCAAGATGAAGAATACTCTTCACTAGATCATTTGCTTCCATCGAATACATTATTTCAAATGAGATGATGTACATCAGTAGGGAATATTTTAAGCCACCTAACGTTTTTAAATGTCCCCATAAAAATTCTGAAACTTTTTCAATTTGTAAATATGAGTTACATGTTGGATAGAGTAACATTTATATCCAGACCTGTACAATATTTCCCAAATGACACTTCTTTGGAGATTGGAAAATAAGGCATCACAATACAATTGCATGCATAAATTGGTGAATCATTTGAATGCTAAGGTTAAGGGATGATAAACAGAGATCAGGGCTACTAAATCTAGACATGAGTCACAAAGCTAAGAAGGGAATTCATAAAAAGTTTACTGACTATGGCTGTTAGAGGAGAGTGACACATTAAGAATAGAGAAAATTTATGAGGACATCAACGCTCTTTTTATTGAAGGAGATGATCCTTATGTGTCTCCCTATCTTAGTTCCCTGAAAACAATCTGGGTATCTCTGCATTCTGCCTCTGCTCTGGATTTGGGCACCAAGCAGAAAGTGAGGGGAGGAGGGAAGTCTGGTTTTGCTTTGTTCCTCTCTCTGCTATCCTTTGCTCTCCTTTCACAGCAATTTTATTTCTTCTTTTTTTCCTTCATTCTACCCCTTTCTCTTCCTATCTCCTCTCCCATCTCTTCTCTCTCTCCTTCCGCTTTCTCTCTTGTATACCATTAATAGAAAGGCCTTTCTATTTAAGATGTGATAAGAACTTTGTTTTTACCATGCTCTCTTTTTACCATATTGCTTCTTACTTTAGAGCTTGCCTTGGTTAATCTATGCTTTTGACTATGATAAAACCTAATTTAGTCATTCAGGAAAAATTCTTCCCTTTAAAACTGCTATCTTGCTTAGAGTTTCTAAAAGCCTAGTTTAAGGCTCAAAGCTGAGAACAATAATAACTCTCAGTTGTAGTGAATATCCAATAGAACTCAGACTCAGACCTTGACTTGGAAGGGGTGGAGAAGGCGAAAACCCAGAAAATAAGCAGATCAGATAGTATTTCAAAGCATTTTCTTGCCCTAAGAGCATGACTTAGAAATCTTTATATCTGCTATTTGTTAATTCATAAGCAGGTAGTCAAGCCCCTCATCAAAGGCTACCTTTTTGATAAATAAAAACTTGCTCACTGTTACATATGGTGAGAGCTATGAAATGCATGTTATGACAGCCAGAGGACTGGTGGGAACTTCTCCTGCCACCACGCAAGCCACTGCCAGCTCCTGAAGCCACAGCCCGAAGCAGAAGATCAAACCCAAGATACCAGAGGGTAGCTGGGCATGGTGGTGCGCGCCTGTGGTCCCAGCTACTGGGGAGGCTGATGCAGGGTAGTCGCTTAACCCGGGAAGTGGAGATTGCAGTGAGCCGAGACTGGGCCACTGTACTCCAGCCTGGTGACTGGAGCGAGACTCCATCTCAAAAAAAAAAAAAAAAAAAGAGACACCAGAGGGTGGCAAATCCTCTCTTGCCTTGCAAATGTTGGAATTGCAGAAGTGAATGTGGGAGGTGATAATAAAATATACTTTCACATGTTGAAACCAACCCCTGCGTCTGTCTCTTCATCTTCAAAGCAGATATTAGAACAGTGCCTGCCTACTTCGTGAAGCTGTTTTCAGGAATAAATGGGTTACTACACAAAATTCACTTAGGAGAGAGCCTGTTTTATACTAAGCCTTCACTAAATGTCAACAATTGTTGTAATCTGGCCTTTCTCCTCCTTTAACAGTCTTTAAAATGTCTAAGAAACAGAGAGATATTGAAGCTGGACACACACTAAACAGTCTGAAGCAAATGTGATAAAGTTGTCTTCTTCAAAAGCTCTTAAATCTTGTCTCCCAGAATGCCTTATCTCAAACAGTAGGATTACCTGTAGGATAAATGACAACAACAATAGTAGTAGCCAACTATGATCCCAAGTACAGTTCTAAGCAATTTGTCATTTAATCCTAACACCTCTTTACATGATAGGTCCTCTAAAATTGATATTTTACAACTGAGGAAATGGAGGTTTTTAAAGGCCTAAATAATCTACCCAAGGTTAAACAGATGGTAAGTGGTAAAAGGGGGACAGAACCCAAGTCTTTTTAACTGAAGAACCTGTGAAATCAATCACATGGCTGAAATTAATAACAGAGCCATGTCACTTATCATCCAATTCATTTCCTAGGTTTCCCAGAGGAAGAAGAATCAGTACATTAACCAAGTTCCTTGGCTTATCTGGGCTTTAAATTTCCACAACTGTAAATTATGCTATACATACTAGATGATCAGTAAGGTTCCTTCCATCTCTGAACCTCCACAGTTCTACTATTTGGCCAAAGGGATAATCAGCAAATGAAAAAAAAAAAAATAAGGGAAGGTCTTAAGAAAGTGCACCATTATTGTTTTATTCTTTCCCTACAATTATAATGTCTGTTCCTTTTTCATTTCTCCTAAGTGAAAGTTATTCTGCAAGGTTGCCTCAAGGGTAATGTTTGTTTTGTAAGAGTTACAGAAAGATAAAAATATTTAGGTAATGATATTCGGTGTGATGTAATTTTAATGGAAATAATGTTTTGAGTAAGGTTTAATCTTGTTTTTCAAGTCTTTGCCTCGCATCCTGCAGCTATGCAATATGTGAGCAGTGGGGAGGACTGTCACCTTCATAGCAGCAGGGTATGACCATTTGGAAGAGTTTCTCTAGAGCAATAGATAATTTTGGCTTGAAGTAAGCCTTGATCAAAGATTAGACTCTTCATTTGTCCTTAGGGCCTAGACCTGGAGAAGATATGAGGGGCTTAATGAAAATTTCACAGTGGGTTGGAGAGAAATTTATCCTCTATGCCTTGTTATGCATTTTTTTGTTCTTGTCGTGAAAATGTGGATTTGTAGCAGAATGTAATTTGTTGCAGATATCATTTTATATTTTCTAAACAGTGAAATGTAAAGAAAACAGTTTGAAGATGTTGAGAAAAGGGTAGTAAATTTGCTTAACATGAATTGGGTCATGGGATATTTCATAGAATCAAGTTTATTTGAAAAATACAGAAAAGTATAAAAAAAGAATAAATTGTGTACAGCTTAATCATTTGCAAAAAAAAAAAACCAGAAACAACCACTTTTAATTATTAGTGTATTATTTTTAGTAATTATTGGTGTATTAATTTGCTATGTAGGCTTTTAATTTTTATATGCATATTGTCATAATTATACCATGTAATCCAATTATAGTTCACCATTTTGTTTAGTAAAATTGAATGGTTTATTTTTAAACTATATTGATTACCATTAGAATATTAGCTTTAGAGTATCAAAATAATATACAAAAATGTTTCTTCTATCTAATCATTTTTATTCCTTTATATATTTATTCATTCACTCATGTAACAAATATTTACTAAGTGCCTAAGAGGAGCAGCCCTTTGCTAGGCACTAAAGATGTAAGAATAAATCAGGACACAGTCCCTGTTCACAGGCACTTAGTCCAAGGCAGAAATAATTATCCTATACAATGTCAGTGATATGAAAGATATCATGACCTGGGAGACAGAGGAAGAACAGCTAACTCAGACAATGGTGAAAATGATGGTATGCTAATGTTTTTCATAGATGACATTGAGCCATGCTTCTTGGAATATATTAATCTGTCACTTAAAAAGACTGGATTAAGGCAGAGATGAAATTTCAGGCAAAGAAAATTTGTAAAGGCCCTGAACTGCAAATAGTTTACTATTGTTGTAGCTGACAGCATGAGAGTTTACCTGGTGAGAGGAAGAACAGGGATGCAGATGGTGCAGTTCTTTGAGGATACAGTATGCCAGTGGACATTATCCTGAAGGCTACTGGGGAACAAATCAAAGATTCAAGCAGAATAAAATAAGATCACATTTTTATTTTTGTAGGACTATTCTGCTGGTTTTGGGGACAATTGATCATTAAGAGTATAATCTAGAATCAGAAAACCAATAAACATAAATAAAAAAGGGAAGGAAATGGTAAGGTGGTAGCAATAAAAGCAGAGGAAAGGTATTAGATTAGAAGATACTCATGTGCTGAATTGTGTCCTCTCAAAATTTATATGTGGAAGTCTTAATCCCCAGTGCTTTAGAATTTGACGATATTTGGAGATAGGACCTTTAAAGAGGACATAAAGCTAAAATGAGGCCAGGAAGGTGAGCCTTCATCTAATCCAACTGATGTCTTCACAAGAAGAGGAAATGAGGAAAGACCATTTGAAAACACAAAGAGAAAGCTGTCATCTGCCAAGGAGAAAGGCCACAGACAAAAAAATAAACCTACAGACACCTTGATCCTAGACTCCAGAAGTTGAGAAAATACATTTCTATTGTTTAAGCTACCCAGTCCATGGTATTTTGTTATGGCAGCCCTAGGAAACTAATACAGATACTAAGGGAAAAAATGAAATTACTTGTTTAGTAAATTGATGCTTGGAGTAAAAGGCAACCTAAGATGCAGGAAAATTTGAAGGGTTTTGGTTTGAGTGATGAGTTCACACAGGTGCCCTTCACCAAGTTAGGAAATCCAAGGCTGTAGTAGATGATAAATTTAGATTGGCAAATGAAGACTTAAAGGAGCTTGTGGAATATTTGGGAAGAGATATCAGCATGCTATTAGAACCATAAAAGCTCAGGGGAGGAGGTGTAGAGGTTTGCTGCTCTCTCTCACTCAGTAGTTTCTCCTCAGATACTTGGATGTTCCAATCCCTCATTTAAAAATGAACTCAACTTGTGTTGTTCTATCAAACAGGGCTTTCCTCATCATTCTATGTAAACTATTACCTCCTACCACCAGCATCTACTTCTCTGAATCTGCCTTTAAAATACCTATCATGACTTGCTTAGAATATATACATTTGTCTATGTTCTGCCTCTTCTGATTAGAGTTCAAACTCTGTGAGAGCAGGAAAGTTATAAGTTGTTCACGGACAGAATCCTCAGTATTTGTATATTAGTCCGTTCTCATGCTGCTGTAAAGAAATAACAGACTGGGTAATTTATGAAGAAAAGAGGCTTAATTGACTCACCATTCCGCATGGCCAGGGAGGCCTCAGGAAACTTATAATCATGGCGGAAGGCACCTCTTCACAGGGCAGCAGGAGAGAGAATGAGTGCTAAGCGAAGGGGGAAGCTCCTTATAAAGACCATCAGATCTTGTGAGAACTCACTGTCACAAGAACAGCATGGGGGAAACTGCCCCCATGATTCAATTATCTCCACCTGCTTCCGCCCTTGATGCATTGGGATTATTACAATTCAACATGAGATTTGGGTGGGGACACAGAGCCAAACCATATCAATTTGGAACGGGTTATGGCATGTAACAGGCTATCAATAATTTTTTTAAATAAATAAAAAATAAATAAAAGAAGATAGGATGAGGAAAGAAAAAGTAATCAGTCTGCCACCTGTTTTTGTGTGACTCACAAATTATGTTTTTTACACTTTTAAATGGTTGGAAAGAAGCAGAAGAACAATATTTTATACTGTGAAAATTTATGAAACTCATTTATGTGTTACCTGTGGCTACTTTTACCTACAATGACAGAGTTCAGTAGCTGCCAAAGAAACCATATGAGGCCCATAGAGCCAACAATAATGACTGTATGGCCCTCTACAGTAAAAGCCAGATAGATACAATCTACAGGATCTTCCACGCTGCTGGTGAAAGTCCATATTGGTGCCACCCCTTTGGGACATAGTTTGTCACTAATTTCTGAAACTGAATAACTGTATAGTGTTATACCAAGAAATTCTTGCTAAGTATATACCCCTGGGATACTCATGCACCTTTGGAATAGGTGACATTTACAAGAATATTCATAGCAGCACTGTTCACAATGGAAAAAACTTAGAGAGAATCCAAAAGCTTATTAATGGGAGAGTGAAAAATACACTATGATACAGGCATATACAACAATATGGATGAGTCTTGGCAATATTATGTCATGTTATATACAGCATGATACACATTTTATAAATTAAAAATATATTTTTAAGACATACATTTACATGCCATAAAACTATGCAAAGTACATCAAGAAAATGCAGGATTCAGGTTGCTGGTTACTTCTAGGTAGCAAAGGGAGAAGGAAAGGGGAATGAGAAGGACCATAAGTTCAGCATATTATTGACATGCTCCTTGCTGTTTGGAGGGCTGCTGGGTCCATAAGCCTTTATTATATTATTGTAAAATAAAAGTTGATAAGTTATTGATGAATAATGACAGTCTGTCCCAAGCCAAGGATTATAATCAGTCGAACTTTGTGCATGCAAAGGTCAGTTAGGGGAAACATTTTCACCAAACTTGAGTTCTAGTCTTAAAACTTTTACTAACCAGCTGTCTGATTTGAGGAAAGTTACTTTAGTTCTCTAGATCTTTGTTTTTTAAACAAAATAAAGAATTGGATCATTTCTAAGGAAACATTCAATACTAAATGTCTAAGATTCTATAAAATAAGTGGTAGAGTTTTTTTCTTTTCAATTCACAGCTCAAGGAAATGATAAACAGAAATAAATTGATCATTTAAAATGTTAGATTTTTGTGACCAAACATTCACTTAGGGTTTCAAAAGCCAATCACCCTCTCCATGAAGTAATCAACATATACCCTTATAATGCAGAGCAGCACTTTTGCTTTAATTGCTAGTTGCTGCATTCTTTTCGTGGTCCCTACAATTAAAGAAGCCTTAAGGTAAGGCAATGAACCAGTATAAATGTCTCAAACATGAGTAAGTGATGAGGCCCCTGTCTACAGACCAGCTGCTTACCAGCACTTGTTGTGAGGTTGTGTGAATTATTGATGCTATACCATAATTCCTATAAATGTCAGTTGCCTGAAGAGGCTTAGATGCCTCTCTTTTGGCATCAGGCTGGCCAGCTGTCCCCTCAATGTTGCCTGGCACTATGATGTGAAGGAAAGAACATAATGGCACATCTGATTAGCTTGGTTCTAATTATTATATCAATATAGAGAAAAAAGCAATTTACAGGTTGATAATTTTCTTGGGTAGTCAAAAATTAAAACCTAGGGAAATATGTCTTCTTTTGCATTAAAATATCAAAATATTCAGGGTACTATAGCTGGAAGGGGTGAAGAAAGAGTGCTTCTGTTGATAAATTCTAATACATCTATTCACAGAGTATCCTCTTGTTTGAGAACTGTCTCCTCATAAAGTAGTGAACCTCTTTTGAAATGTTTGTTCTAGACTACCCCAGCAATCTGGTTCTAGCTGATCATCTTTTCTTGGATGAGATGATCCCATCTTCTCCTGGGATCATCTTTTCCCTTCTCACAAAGGAGGGTCCAAATATATCCAGCACCTCTTTCTCTGTTTTTTGTTTCGTTTTGTTTTGTTTTTTCTCTCTCTCTGTATGTCCATCTCTCTTTCTCTTTTACATAAAGTCTCAGACTCTACAAAAAAAATTCATAATTTATAAAGTAGCTTTATCTATCTATCTATCTTTTTGGATTCAGAAATAGTTCTGAGTAACCTGCTTTTTCTACATTAGTATTATGGAACATTTATGATTGGATGGGAGCTTAAATTTTATCTAGATCAATTGTCTCATTTTCTAAACAGGAAAACAAAGGCTCAGGAAAGCAAATTTATTTGTCCATGGACTCAGGGTTATACAGACAGCAGAGAAATATAGCTCAAGACTTCTGGCTTCTAACATAATATACTTTTAAATAATGCAATTTTCTCCCCTAACAATGCTATGATGGGGAAAGAAAAAACACACACAATAAAGTATTTTTAAAAACAAATGCCAGGGTCTTCAAATATATTGAGTTCTCTCTCATAAGGTTCCAAGTAAAATACCACTATGCGTCTTATTTGCCTTTAAAAGAATATCCGATCTTCAGAAGGGAGCTGGACAGTGAAGGATGGAATGGCAGAATTTTACTAGGTATCGATAAATCTTTGCTGTTGCTTTTGGATAAATGATCCTTCAACAGAACACTTCCAACTCTATAAGCATGACGTTCAGCAGCAGTCTAGTGTTACAATTGAGTTTAGGTAATTTTTAGGGGTGTACAAAATCCAAACTAGATCAAGTTCAAAAATAAAACTGAGGTAAAGTATGCTGAAATGTAAGCAAAGCAGCCATGCAGAAAACAGAAATGGGGATTCTCTTGTCTCTGTCAATTAATTGCATGTGTTGTCTGGCTTATGAGGTTTGCACAGAGGAAGGCTCACCAACTTTATGCTATAAAAACACAGGTGTAACATTTCTCTGACATAAATAAGTGAAATTGTCACCAGTCTTATGAGCTCTAGACCTGCGTCTTGTCTTAGCATCGGTTCTGAACTGATAAGGTTTTATGAATGTCTTATTCACGACGCTAATTCACAAGTGCTGACCCTGCATTCTGTAAATCAAATAGAGAGCAACACCTAATGAAGAGGTAGCTGTGGTCCACATGCTTAAGATGTTGAAGTGGTCCCAGGATGTAATTAAATGTATTTTAGCTGCAAACACTTCCTTTCCTCACTGCTTTTTTGGGGATGCCTCTGTCCAAATTCTCGTGGTTTGTTAGGTTGCCAGTATCTACTCAATTCACCAAAAACAAGGTATCAGTTAAACAACTTTGCACTGAAGTGTCACTAGATTTTAAAAGACAGTGGCTGGAAAGGGTAATGATGAGCACAAATGCTTAATCTTCTGTGGGTATAAGTGGTAGACTCTGTTGCCAGGCCACAGGTAGCCCATATGGTGTCTTTGCATGAATTAGAAAAAGGTGTCACTTTCCCCACAAATGCAGATGGGTGCCAGAGCATGTGGTTTCCAAGTGGAACAGGAACTGATTTCAGCCCTGACTCACTAGTCTGGCTGCCCTTGTGCAAGGAACAACCAACACAACTAATGACAAGCCCAATGGCAGCACAAATGCACAGGTTAGCTGTGAAGGGTATTTCCGTTTTGTTTCTGCCTCATTCTTTACCCTCCCATTCCCTCCTTTTCTCCCTCCTTTCCTCTTTCCCTCCCTCCCTCCCTCCCTCCCTCCCTCCCTCCCTTCCTTCCTTCCTTCCTTCCTCTTCTCTCTCTGTGGGTGTGTGTGTATCTATGTAAACTAAAAATAAACTTCTAAGCCCCTCAGCCAACTGAATGGACCCCACCTCTTGGCCAAGGGCATTTTAAAGTTAACCTGAAAAGCTAGTTCAGACCCTGATAGAAAGGAAGAGTCAGATAAGCCTCCTTATACCCTCCTTTCTTTTGAAATTCAGGCCCAGCTGACCAGCATTAACATCAACACAGACCTTAAGACTGATAGAATGGATTCTTTAAGCCTGTTAAGAAACATTTGCAAACTTTTCTCTGAAGCCTGTTACCTGGAGGCTTCATCTGCATAATAAAACCTTTGTCTCCACAACCCCTTAACGTAACCCAGACATTGCTTTCTCTTGATTCTATGTCTTTAGACCATAATTAAACTCTTTCAATCAATTGCCAATCAGAAAATCTTTTAATTTACCTATAACCTGGAAGCCCCTGCCCCCTAACTCCTTCCTGCTTCAGTTTCACCTTTCCAGACTGAACCAATGTACATCTTACATGTATTGATTGAAGTTTTAAATCTCCCTAAAATGTGTAAAACCAAGTTGGGCACATATTCTCAGGATCTCCCAAGGGCCGTATCATGCATGGGCCATTGGTCACTCATATTTGGCTCAGAATAAAACTTTTCAAATATTTTACTGACATATAGCCTATAAAGTATTATATATAAACACATACATATGTAGATATATATACACACACACATATATACACACACACACACATATATATACACACAAACAGACACACACACACTTTTAGAGAGGTAAAACACCACAGAAATTCCATAGAAAATAATTTAAAATAAGTTGGTCAATTATTTAAAATCTGAATTAATTAAAGGTGAGAGATTATAAGTATTTATATTTTTGGCCTCAAAATTACCTTTGCCTACTATTTATTTCTAGTTGTGATTCCACATTAATATCATCTATAGCTATACACATATATTGATATCATATATATAGATCTATATATATCATCTATCTATATATTAATAGATCTATATATCTATAATGAGATAATAAATATTATTTACACATATATAATTGTATACAATGTAAATGTATTTATATTTATATATAATTTTATATCAAATATACATATAAATTTGTATATATATAACTCACCAGTTATTTTATTCCTAACTCATAGTAATGATATTTATTGTTTTTTAAATTAGAACAGCATATTAAATAGTGCAGTATATAAGGATATACTGCATTATTTGAAAAATAATACTCCATACTTGAAAAAGTAATACACTTTAATTACTTAACATCTTTAATTGGGTAAGCCAACCAACCCAGGTCTGTAAATATGCCTGCTGCTGATTTGGAACCGACATATGGAGATAGTAAATTAGGTCAAGCCACGGGAATTCAATTTATGGGAACTGCTTTTATGAAGCTGTTTCTGTCAAATAGGAAAGTGCAGACAGAAGGCTGTGGGCAACACAGAGACTCAGAGACTGATGTGCCCTAGCAGACCCAGGAGGTCCTAGGAAGGTCACTGAGATTCTCACTGAGGGTCATGCCAATCAACGTCTGTCCTGGCCGCATGCCTTGTCTCAAGATCTCCGCAGGCCATCAAGGGCATCCTTCTCCCCTGATCCTGGGAGCTGAGGATAGGGAGTTTTTGTGAGGCTTCCCCAAGAGGCCACCTCAGCAGAGAGAGGCCTGTGTAAGCATGAAGATGCCTGCCTGCTGTAGCCTCTTCAAAACAGAGCTGTTTCTTTCTCAGCAGCATCTCTGGATCAGAGAGGAAGAGGCAAGAAGCTCTGAATTTTTCACATCGGTAATAGTGGTGCTGCTAACCCTTTTCCAGGGAATTCCATTTACAGATTTAAACATGACATTTTCTTCCCATATCTTATCTACACAAATTTGTATTCTCTACTATTTTTTCACAGGCAAACCATGTAATGGCTTTGACTCTGTGGTAATAGAATAGATCATCATACTTCATGAATCAACAGCTTTAATTTTTCCATTTGCTATTAGGACAGAATTTGAAAATATTACTTAAATTTATCCACTACATATTTCAGAATAAGGAAATGACTTTCTAAAATGATCCTTTACAAAGGAGTAAATAAAGATTTGCCCGCCTTGAAAAAGATGTTGATTTCTGCTCCTAGTATTTCTAAAATGTCTAATAAATGTATACAGATGGAATATTACTTGAAAGTATGCATTGTTATATTTCATAATTAGGAGGCCATGGATTGTAAGATACACCACTCTATCGTGAACCCCTAAGAAAGAGAAAATGAAGCATCTCAAAAGAGCTCTTCTAATCTTTTAAAAATTATATCACTTTTGTGCATACTTGAAAAGGAAAACATAAGTGACATGACTTGGTTGAGCCATTCCCCAAATTTCTTCTCTTTCATAGTCTAACGCTCTTGAAACACTTTGCGGCTTGAATCACTGATGTGCCCTCTGAATGGTTCTCTCTGTCTACAAAAGCATTGGTGACAGAGTTCTTAAAAAGGTTGAGCCTCTATTGTCTCCAGAACTTTCCTCTAAGGCACTGAGGCCTATTCTTCAAGTTTTGATACAAGTGCCACATGTCCACAGGAAGAGACACCCATGCCACCGTCTCGGCTTGGCCAATAGAGATTGTGAGATGCTACCGATAGTAAGACACATGCTGATTTCAGAGATGTTGAAATTGTGAAAAATCATATGGATCTGAGAATCAATGAATTATTTTGTTAACTGAGACACTGACAGTAAACATAATGTTCATATTTTATAATGTTGACTTATAGACATCTCCCCTTAGAGAATATGCTGTGAGTACTTTGGTGTCCCCACAATGTGGACATGTGAGGAATACAATTATCTGCAAAGAGTTAAACTTTAAAATTGGTACATGGATCAGAATAGAAAAATGTAAACTAACCTATATGAGATGGATTGATTTGTAAGTCAGAAAGAACTAATTTTAATCTGTTTGACATTATATATATATATATATATATATATATATGTCATGTCTTTTATATATATATATAAGAAATGAGCAGAATGGTATTTGTTCCATTTTAAAAGTTTGGAAAAAAAATAGAGTTGTAGGAGCAGAAGTGGTTGGTGATTGTCAAAGCACTATCCAATGGAGAGGAATTTTATCCAGCAGACTGAAGTAGCAAAATAATGCAACAAACAGGCTTAGCCGTATGTCATCAATTCATGTGATTTATGTAATTCCTTTCATGCTGATTCTAAGCCCCCAAATGGAGCTGATTATGTGGAACTGCCATAGAGAGAGGATGCAGTAGTTATAATTTTGAGTTTCAGGGTTTCTAGATAATTATTTCTCATAAATTAAATTAATTGGCTTTTTAGTTGTATACATCAGTCTACTGAGTTTTATTTAATGGGTCATTCGCTTAGGCTTTCACCACCTCTTGGTTTTCAACAAGGTCTCTGAACAATAATAATATTATGAATGTAATCAATATCACCTTAGGAGACTTCCTGGGAATCTGCTTGATAGATTTCCCAGGAATACACATATACATGTTTCTGCCTGCATGCCAAATGTTTGAAGTAACAAAAACGATATCACAATAATGATTAAATAGGCTCTGGGGATTAGAGTCCGCAGTTAAATGAATGTGAACATTGTTTTGCATAAGGAAGTCCAGATTAATATTAGTAGCTTTGGCTATAGTTACTTTTGTATGTTTGGTAAAGTCAGGGTAGGATATGGTTAGTTCAGAAAGAATAAGACCAGATTAACTCATACGAGGAAAAATAGGAAAAGAAGCTGACACAATTAATAAGATAAGCTAGAAATAATAAAATAAATATATTCACTATTTTGTTTTACTTCTGTTATGATAATTAGGATAGATAAATCACTATTGGCATAAAGAATTTCTTTACTACTAAATATCTGGAGGGAATTGATTTATTCATTCAAATACTCTCCAGAATGTTTTGTAGATAGAAAGTATTCAATGACACTTGTTTTGTACTTTTTAAAGTACTATAGTTTCATATCTGCATATTAAATATAGGAAACATTTTCATATGTATCATTTGATTTAATAAATAACACTCTGGGCTAGATTTGAAATGCCCAGAGTTTGGGGCTGCAACCTGCCTCTCATCCCCCTTATAACCTCTGAGTCCATAAGGCATAAAAATGGCATATTTTGTCAGATTTAGATTTGTTGAAACAGAGATTACATTTTAGTAAAGTGAACCTATACAGTATGATCGATAACCAACTTAATGTAATCTCTCAATGTCACCTCCAATAAGAACATGCAATCTACAAGTGCCAGTGTAAACCAGTTCAGGGTAAAGAATTGAAGATACTAAGCTAATTTCCAACACCACAACTCTCATTAGAGTTGGCTGTCAATTACAGACATTCACTTGTTTGAAACTTGAGGCTATTATGAAAATTCTTTAAAAGTACAATGTCTCTTAAAGAACTTCAATAAACTAAGTTTTTAATAAGTGATACAATTCTTTATATCTTTTTCTTCTAAAATCTCTTTGTTCATATCTTACAGCACAAGGAGAAAAAATTATATAATCTCACATTACATTCCATAACTCAAATTATTTATATGTATAAATAGGCAGGCCCTTACTATTGTATTTTCTTTAATCAATTAGAAATATTTATTTAGCAAACTCCTACTATGTATAAGTTCTCTGCTTTGTATATAATGTATATTTTTACAACAGTCATACCACTAGAAACATTTTGTTGTTGTTTTATTTCAGATAACTAAACCGAGTACATGTTGTTACTGCTGAGTTGCTGTTAAGCTGGAGTTAATGACTAATCACCAGATTTGGATGGGAGAAGGGAAATTCACTGATAATATGTCACAATGCTTTTGTCACAAGAAATCCTATACACTTACTCTGAGCTACTGGAACCTGCCTTTATGGGCTTTTCTCTTGGTTGACCAGGGGTCTTATATTGGCTTTATTTCCAGGAGGAAAAACAACACAAAACTCATTTTGCCATGCTATGTACTTATTCCAGTGATCCTGACATTGTCCAAAGCAATGTGGAGCATTTTGATTGGAATTGTCTATACAGCATGGTTCCATGTATATCCATAATCATGAATGTTTCTCCTATGAAGGTAGATTTGAATTGTGACAATAGCCCAAAATTACTTGTATGTAAATCTGGTGAATAAATACTTTTACTTCTGTCTTTTAAACTAGACCAAAGATCTGTTAAAAATATAATTTGTGTCTTATAAATTTATACAGTATCTTATACCTCTAGAATGGCACCTGGAATAAAGTGGATATTATAATGAAGTGACAAAAATGGTGATCTCCAACATCACACAAAGCTAGTTTCCACTCTCCTGCTTAATAATGGTTGACTCTAGGCCAGTTATCTACCTATGATTTGGCTGCCTCACATATAAAAGCGAATAGTAATAGTACCACCTACTTCCTGTGGAATTGTTCACATGAAGTGCCATGTCTAGAACACAGCGTTGGAGAAATTCTAGAACTTTATTGAGGATGATGTTGTTTAAATGCTCAAAATGTCAGTGATGAATGATTAAGCTATTAGATAAACAAATAATGGGCTGAGCGCACTGGCTCACGCCTGTAATCCCAGCACTTTGGGAGGCTGAGACGGGCGGATCATCTGAGGTCAGAAGTTCGAGACCAGCCTGGTCAACATGCTGAAACCCTGCCTCTGCTAAAAATACAAAAATTAGCTGGGCACGGTGGCACATGCCTGTAGTCCTAGCTACTCAGGAGGCTGAAGCAGGAGAATCGCTTGAACCTGGGAGGCGAAGGTTGCAGTGAGCAGAGATCGTGCCATTGCACTTCAGCCTGGGCAACAGAGCAAGATTCCGTCTCAAAAAAAAAAAAAATGATAATGTAAAAAACAAGATCAACATCATTTTGCAAACCGATGGAAATAGACAGCAATACAAGGTGTTTTCAGGAAATGTTCGAACTGTCATGATTGGGGTTAATTCTGTGAAGATGCTGAACCCAATTAAAAAAAATTTCAGCATTTAAGTATGGACTGTCAAAACATAAGTCTCAATTTTTTCATCTGTAAAACTAGATGTGACTAGGTAATTAATATTCTCTTCAGCTCAAAATTCAGTGAGGGTGTAATAGCCATTACCTGAAACTTAGGACTAAGAGCTTGGTAAGGTGAGAGACAGAAGGAGAGGCCAGGGACGGCAGGGTTGCACAGAGAACTCACAGGGGTGGGAGGAGTGGTCATTTTAGAATGTCTTGGGACAGCTTGTCTTCTTTGAGGGAAGGAATATAAAACATAGTAATTGTTCATTAAATATTAAATCAGAGTTATAGTTGGAAGGACAGAAAAAGGAGACTGTCTAAAGGACAGATGTGGGAATGAAGAGTACTTGGGTCAACATGCATGAACAGTCAGCAAATAACTCATTAGAATCCAGTTGAATAATTTACTATCAAATCACAACATCTGTGTTTTAAAATAAAGTTATGCTGAAGACTTCTTTGCATTTAGATAAGGTATTCAATTTTGACAATTTGTGAATTGTACTAGTCACAATTCTTGGTCTAAGGTCATACAAGTTAATAGTTTTGGAGAAAAGTACCTATTAAATTAGGTACAAGGATTTAGTTAAGCCAGAATTTCCCAAGTGTATGTACCATTGATGGTTTGTGAAATATCATTTCATATGATATTGCATTATGATATATCTAAACAATATGATGTTCTGACAGCACAGTAGGAAGCAATGTCAAGTGAACTAAACACAACCTTTCATGGAAATTGTTGCTTAGAATGAGAATAAGATTTTAAAAAGGGAGTCCATTAAAAACATATTTATTAAATAATTAAATAGGTGGTCTGGGGCTTGGTGAAACTTCTGAAGACAATGCACAAATCACTAAAGTTTGAGAATTGCTTTCTTAAGGTAATTAACTATCTATCAGAAATTGGCTATAAATGGCATATTAATAATGTAAACTTTTCTCATTTTTCAATAATTCAATGTCTCTGACAGCAACAACTGTATCACTGGCATATTATAACAGATTATTTGAAATAATTTTATACATACTTATAACATTATAAGTTCCACACAATCAGATTTTATGTGTGTTTGTCACTGTGTACCTATGCCTGAAACATAAGATGCACTCATAAATATTGGTTAAGTAAATACATTAACAATTATGCAAGCTTATTTAAACACATTAAAATTCTAAAAACTGTACCTGGGAGATAACAAAGAATGATAAACATAGATATTTCATAAGTCTGGGAAACGATTCACACCCTCTCTCTGCTATCTGATAAAACCCCACTGTATTGTACTTGGCATGAAGCTTGCTGTTAATCACACCACACAGTTCATTACATTTAAAAAAGAACATAATGACCAGAATTAGGAAGAGATTTGGAACCACGTCAATTAAGAATTTACTAAAGTGACTGGGAAGTGTAAGCAATGACTTAAAGATTATGTTAAAAGAGACCAATTTGCAAGAATATTTCTGAATTAATTTTTTCTCCATATTTATTAAAGATATTCAATATTTTAAAATAATATTGATGAGAAACTAAGAAACATTGATTTTGATTTAAAGTTCATAAACTTTGTGAGTTTTCTAAGCTTAGAGAAGGCAAAAGACGGAAAAGTTGTATCTCTGTTGAAAATGATACTTTAATTTCGTAATACACAGGGTTTTAAAGTGTTTAAATAAATGGTTTCTTTTGTAGTTTTCTAAATGAAAAGTTGATATTGACATGCTTATATAAATCCCATAATTTTTTATTTTAGGAATGATTTATACTGTATACTAAATAATTTTCCACTATGGTAGAAAATTAATATATCATTTAAAGCAACATTCTTATAATCTAGGAATATACTTAATAAATATACTTCACATCTCTGAAAACATCATGATATAATAATACTGTTAAAGAAACCCTTTGCATGTAGACCTGCTTTTGAACACTATATTCTTATTTCGTTTCCTTTACTACACTACCGTTAATGGGAGAGCAATCAATGTGAATAAGGTCATGTCTGTAGAGCCAAAGACAAATTGAACCGGCACCAAAAATTCATTTTAATGACATTGCAGCAACCAGATGAGTCAGATGCTTAGTGTGGCCATGACAAGCCCTCTAAATTCTAAATGCTTTCATAAGAGTTCTGCCCAAGGCTTGAAACAAGAAAAAGAAAATATCAGTTGTTTTATCAACCAATCTCCTGCAAAGCCAACTTCTTTCTAATCATCTCTTTTAATTAGCTGAACTTTCATTCCTTTACTTTCCATTATCAATCAAAAGTATCAAACATGCTTATAATAACTGATTAAAAAAATCACCATGCAGATAGGCAATGTAATGATAAAACCGCAGCATCTATGAAACTTTCTGAGCAAGTTTGGTCCTTGCCTACCCATAGTTACATACAGATAGATTCTAAAGCGGCCACAATGAAGGAAGTACTCAAATGTTGTATAGAAGTTGGAACATTTTGCTATCAAATATCAATAGGAATGGAGATTAGGATTTCAATATTAAAAATGAATACTGTGTATGGAAATACTGGATACTTAATAAATAGAATCTGGAACTCCCAAAGAAAAGATAAACTTGAGGAGAGTAGAGGTGGTGAGAACAATGACACCAACACGATACCAAGAGAGAATTCTCTATCCAGAGGGGGTGAGCCTTTCTTGCATGGTGTGTTGCTTTATATTTGTTTGCAGATGATATTTAACTCATTTTTTTTCTCTGATCTCATTTTCCTCTGAGCCTTTGCCTATAAAATGGGGTAGCTATTGAGAAAAAAAAAACTTGTTATGAAACAGATATTGAAGCAAAAGACAGAGCAGTTAATAGAAATAGTGGCTTGCCATTTCAGCCCCCTCCTGCCACCCCAATAGAAGAAACTCTACATGGGAGAGACTTTAAACGTTACATGGGCTACAAGCCTTTGTATACACAAGTAGAATGGGGGCTACAGATAGGAGTGATTTAGAGAGCAATGGAAGGTATCCTGTCTGAAAATATTGCTTCCATATTTTGGTTCATCTTGTTGTTATTCTCTTTGAAATGCAAATACCACTGGGAGAAGAAACTATTATATTAATGTGCTTAGCGTCATGTCAAATCCTCTTCTTCTATCTACTGGAGAACACAGAGGGAAGACTATGGTAATAAGGATATATTAAAGAAGCAATGAGCAAAGCAAAATGTAAAGAAAACTAATGCTTAAGCTGGCCTGGGATTGTAGTTAGTAAGTAGCAGCAGTGACGCAGAAGTATGATGAATGAACCGAGGATCATCAGTGACACTGTTAGTAAAACACAACCCTTTATAGCATGTTACAACTAAGCAACATGCTGGTCACGTGAAAGTAACCATCTCTTGCACGTGTTTTCCAAACTGACTGCTTTATGTTGACATAGTTTCTTTTATAAACAGTTGGTAAAACTACCTGGATAGTCAACTCATAGGCTATGTGGTTTGTAATTTACTTTTAAAATACATCCCAAGGATGGTTAGATATAATTGCATGTGTATTAGACAATATGGCTCTATATCCAAGGGTTGGTGTAAGGCTGGTCAGTCACCCTAAGCGAGAACAAAACCCACACTTCATAGGGGGGTTGGCTAGCATTTCATTAAAAGAACAGATTTTAGAGGTAGATACTACCCCAAACGTATAAGTTGCATTTATCATAGCTCAAAACCTGCTATTTTGTTACATAAATTTAATTGTTAGTTGCATTATGGAAGTTGACTTTTCACTGGTGGAAGAAATTACTGATGTTCACCTATGTTGCTTAGCTAAAACATTTTAGTAACTCTTCACTCTTGCATCAAAATGATGAAAGAATCTAGTGAACTCTTTACCTTTTACTTTTCATAATGCTGACTGAGGCCTGATTCTTAAATAGATCTTTTTCAGTCATTAAATTAGAGGACTCTAGTTACCTGATCCCAGTATAAGGCAAACTCAATCCTGCTTCTAGAATATTTTCATATTTACTGTAAAAACAGCCATACAAGGACAAGTTGGAGCACCTAAAAGGATAGAGCACTTGGACTTTTTCAAGTTTATAGGACAGATTGTGGGAATGATTTTTTTAGCATATTGCTAATAAACGCATGTCTTCTAATTATAAGTGATGCACACTCTTACCTATCTCAAACTTGTTTTCTTATTTAGCACTGAGATTGGTGGTGGCTACTTAGCTCTACTGAAAAAGACACAGTGGTGAGGTCTATTCACAGCAGTAGTAGTGCTGACATATACCAGACACTCTGCTGGGTTCAGTAGTAAACAAGACAGACATGGCCCTTGATCAGTCTAGAATCCAGTTAACCAGAAATCATAGAGAGAAGAAAAAAATTTTCAAATAATAATAATAGTAATTTATATTATTATAAGAACTGAGGGTTTCTTCGAATGTTTCAACCTATTAAAAAGTGAAAGTGACACACTTATGCCACTAAATGATACAGGATGTCATCCAAATCTATATTCTTTGTGTAAACAGCCTTTTGTAAATTGTGTTACAGAGAATGTTAATATCTGTTTGTGTTTCAGTTTCCATATCTCAAAATTGGGACCCTAATACTTCTCAGGGTTATTGTGAAGAATAAATGAAACACAATAGATGAAAGAATTTATCATATTACCTCTCATACAGCAGATAATCAATAATAAACACTTTAAGAATTATGACACTCCTTAACCAAAAAGGAAAATTTATTAATTTACATTAAAATTTGGAGATTTTCATACATTTTAAAATACGTGTTTTGAAACATGTATTTGAACTATTTGGTTTTATGACATTAAATTACAGAATTAAAAATAAAGAAGCTGCACCTTGGTTAGGATGGTGAGTAAACACTGGCACACTGACAATTAACTTATATGCCTTCTAAATCCCCTAAAGCTAGGGAATTCACACACACATACACACACACACACACACACACACAGTTGTATACCCCTAAAGCTAGGGAATACACACACACATATATACACCCCTAAAGCTAGGGAATACACACACTCACACACACACATATACCCCTAAAGCTAGGGAATACACACACACACACACACACACACACACACACACCCCTAAAGCTAGGGAATACACACACAGTCTCTCACACACACACACACACACATATATATACCCCTAAAGCTAGGGAATACACACACACATATGCGTACTCCTAAAGCTAGGGAATACACACACACACACACAAACACACACATATGCATACTCCTAAAGCTAGGGAATACACACACACACACACACATACACATATGCATACTCCTAAAGCTAGGGAATACACACACACACACACACACACACACACACACACACACACACACATTTCCCACAAAGACCGGGAGAATATGAATCAATACTAGCAATACAATTTTGGAGGATGGAAAGTAAATGAATATGTGCTCACTGACTTAGTAGAATGCTGAATCTTAACTTGAAAGTCTGGAAAGATGAGAACCAACCCAACTTTCGACCATGAATCCATAAAAGATTCAGTAATTAATAAAGTAAGGAGAACTGCATTAAGGCTGTTTGACAGATAGTAGATCCCTAGGTCTCCTAAGCCTTGTGGCTGATTGACTACTCCTCTCTCACTCTGGGAGATAACTGGAGGTTTATTTTCTAAAAGAATCCCTGCATTGAGAAGAACCAAGTATTACAAAGAATGTGGAAACTACACAGAAAATGGAGATTGCCTACACTTGTACCAAATACTGAATGTTCATGCTGTTAGACCTCTTTCCCCAAATGGTTCCAAGATTGTTGGCAACCAGATCAGAAACCTCCAGGAAAGAATTTTAAAACGTATCCTTAGAGAACCTGACTAATAAAGAGAAAATGAAAAAAATAATGCTGACAACAGATGAGAGAGTCCTAAAACGGGAACACTCAGCTTCCTCTGCAGTGAGGTGATCAAATAATTTATCATCCAAACAAGGACACTACTGAGAATAAAAGGAAGAGCTATTCACAAGGACATCAGGGCAATGGGAGTAAAATGGGACTGTACTGAGCAAGCCAGGACATAATTGTTACTCTAACCCACAGTAAAGCTCCAAGTCAACAAGACCCTCCCACTCGTAATAATAAACACACAGCTAATAATAATCACGAATATGAGGAAAGCTGTGAAGGTCAGAAAAAAATGAACAGAATCAAGTAACTTGGAGAAAACTAAGAAAGAAGGGAAAAAAAGATGTTTTATTATCCTTGGGATACAAAAAAGGTATTGCATTCATAAAGCAGTAATAGAACGCCATTAGAAAAGGAAATTTTCAAGAAGAAAAAAGAACTCTGATTTAAAACCACAATGAAAAGCATTCTAGAAAGAGACAATAGATAAATCATAAGAGACAGAATCACAAACAGATAAATAAAAAGAAATGTAAGAACATGAGTTGCCAATGTTAAAGTGAACACCCAGCAAATACATGAAAACTGACCTATTCCAAGTCACGTTGTTTTGAAATTTCAGAACATCTGGAACAAAAACAAGATTCTTCTAACTTTCAGAGAAGAAGTAGGTTGTACTAAAGGATCAAGAAGCTACCAGGGGATGTGCTATATCCACATTAGAGGGTAAAATTAAAATGAAGAAGACATTATATAAAAATCATGCATTCCAATATAGGGGGGATGAAGACATTCTTGGATAAATAAACACAGACATGGTGAAGATGAAGTCCATGATGATGGTATACCCCAGATATAGAGAGCAAACACTTCATGTTAGAACAAAGTGAAATGTCAGCAAGATGCTCAATATTATTTTATAGTCTTTTAAAACCTGAGAGCAAAAAGATATCAGATTCTACAATGTACTAACAAACTTCCCGCTCTGTCCTCCATGCCCTGCTGCCTGGAGCAGCAAAGGCATTCATTTCATCTCTCAAAATTATGCTGCCTTGTCCTAGCCCTGAAACCTAGAGCTACACCAAGTGAGCTTAGAAACAGAAGGACAAATAGGGGTCCAGTGAAGATAGAATAACATGGATGCACATAAAAGCAAAACATGAATAACAACAGTAATGATGATGAAGTGAATGATACAGCAAGTTTTTGCCTAATCTCACTTTTTAATGCTGATTTTGTTCAGAAATCTGAGTAAAAACCGAACATGAGATTAATAATTATGTGAAGAGTTCAATGCTAATGAAATTGTCTGTACGTAAATGCAGCAAACAGATTTTTTGACAACTTCATCCACAGGGATATTTTTTCCCAAAGTTGTATTTTCATTCTTCATTAATGAGACAAGTACTTTTATGCAGCAATCATTTATGTGGGGCACTGAAAAGTTTTAGGGCCTCTAGTTTAAGTCAGGTCCAGGAAATAAAACTTTAAATATTTTCCAGTTTGGGCAACATATAATATTGGTGCAATTTACTATTTAACTTTCTTGGTTGTGGTGATTGGACAAAGACACAAGATAAAAAGAGAGATTAGCTGCTATATGAGATTTTCTTTCTAAAATTTCCAGGGACATTCTGATATGAAACTTGACATCCTCAGAAGAAATAAAAGGTGATCCACAAATTGGAAAAACCTAAAGTTTGGAGAAACAGAAACAGTTATTATTGGCTTTAAGTTTAGCCGGAAGAGAGAAATTCCTAGTTAAAAAAAAGTATGAGATTATTCCTGTGGTTTTTGATTTTTGATTGCAAAGAAATGAGTTGATCTTAATTGAATTTCCCAACATGTGTGTGTGTGTGTGTGTGTGTGTGTGTGTGTTTCCCATCCTGTTTGAATAGTTGATTACTGTAGACTAGGCAAGAGTTTCAGATTCCAAGTGCCAGAGGTAATCAAACAACAGTCCCTAGCCATCCACACTGTGAAGTCTTTCTCGGATTTTGAGCAGAGAAATTGCATAAGAAAGGCAGTGCTTTTAAAAGCACAAAATCAAGCAGTGTCTATAAGATATTGTTTTGTCAGGTTACATGAAAACATTTGAAGGAAGAGCATTTGCATAGAGAGTACGATTTTGGAAACCTCAGAAGGGCTGAGTGACCTGTGATATACCTAAAGCCACTTCATCTTGATTTCACCTGGGGTCTTGTACCCCCTTTCTGGGTCCTCTCCTGTGGTGTAGGCCTCACTGGATCTCATGGTTTTCCTCTCTTTTTTTTTTTTAATTTGAAGTTTGAAAACCATTTGAGAACTTCTATAGTATTAACCTATCACTATGGCTGACACACAATGAAGATGAGATTGCAAAGAAAGCCTGGCAGGCAGAAGCTCTGGAATGAGGCTGAATCCAGAAGGGAGTCTTTGGGAGTGGGTAATCCGTTACGGAGAAGAGTTCTTTACAGGCTGTGTTTGATCAGTGAGTTGGTTCCGAGATTTTCAATTGAAGCTGTATGAGCAGAATTGAATTCAAAGATTTATACTGATTGTGAAGAACTGAAATAGCTGAATGCGTGAAGCAGGACTTGCTGAGTGATTACAAAGGTTTATAACAAAGACAGCCTGTGAGAGGTCGACAAAGAGGAGAAGATGTGTCTGAAAGAAGACATAAAGGACAGCTATTCTCTGAGTGGGTTAACCATAGAGGAGGTAAACTAGGTTAGGAGACAGAAAGAGGAGAGAAAATGGCTTTGATGAGAAAGAAATAAAAATGAGTAGAGGGAATATAATGGAGGAAGCCAGTATACACATCAGAGAAATAGTTATGATATAAAGGAAAATGAAGGGGTTAGAAGCTTAGTAGCGCCCAACTTATGAATGTTAATAAGCCCTAATATAGAATAGGAGAGCTCTGTGTGTCCTCATTTCTACATGATTTCCTCTCTAAAAGGGGAAGAATGAGACACTACGATCATTGTTACCGATGATATCCAGTACAATTCCATTCAATCCTGTTGCATATTCAAACAAGATTTTGTTAGATTCAGTTTAAGACTTTACATTGAAAAATTAACTAGATGTTGGGGATAGAGTTTAAGTTATTCTGAAAGCTGGGCTCAAACCTTAAGGGATGATAAACCTAGGTAGACAGGAAATATACAAATTATGTAAAGCTCTTAGAAAATTATATTAGAGAAAATACTTGTAGTTGAATTAAGAATTAAAAATGAACTCATCAGATGGGAATTGAACAATGAGAACACATGGACACAGGAAGGGGAACATCACACTTCTGGGGACTGTTGTGGGGTGGGGGGAGGGGGGAGGGATAGCATTAGGAGATATACCTAATGCTAAATGAGGAGTTAATGGGTGCAGCACACCAACATGGCACATGTATACATATGTAACTAACCTGCACATTGTGCACATGTACCCTAAAACTTAAAGTATAATAATAATAAAAAAAAGAACTAAAAATCATACTAATTGCCTATAATGGTTTATATATCGATTTCATTTAAAATGTGTCCTCTGATTAAAAACCCCAAGGCATTAGTTAGATAATTAAGAAGTAAATTGTTTATAACAAAAATGCTGTCCAAACCACAGATAATGAATCAGAGCTGTGTAAGAAAGTTTCAATGATAATGAAGAGATTTGAATAAAAAATGCTCATTTCAGCAATCATATTGCAAATCGTACTACAGAATCTAAAATGAGGAGTGCTGTTCCTATATATGTGTGAACTTGTGTGTGCACATACACATACACACGGTAACTACAAACCAGCTCTGAACACACAAGCCTGGCTGAAAAGTCAAGCTTTATTATTTACTACATGTGTGGCCCAGTACTTAAGTTCTCTGAGCTCTAGTTTCATCATCAAAAAATGGGAGAACAATAGTATTACCCACCTTGTGAGGTCGTCATGAGTTATTGGATGAGTTAATGCATGTGATATTTTAAAAATGTGCCTGGCATTTAGTTTGCCCTCAATTATGTATGCAGGTACCTGTATAAAATATACAATCTTTATTGCACAGTGACTAATGTGTTAGTAATTGTCATTTCTGGTTGACAAGCAATTTTTATTTTTGCTTATCTTTATTGTCAAAGTTTTTACAGAACAATATGTTACAATTATAAGAGCATTAACAGTAAAGCCTAAGATTTTATAATCTAAATATGGCACTGTTGTTACTCAAAAGGTAGAAATAAAGGTTGCTGGAATTATGAATAATTTACAGAGGCACATAGGTAAGCATGCTAAACAGAATTCTAAAATGGTCTTCAAGATTCTAGCCACCTGGTGGGTACACCAGGCATAATACCCTCTCCTAGACTGGGGGTGGGGCCATCAAATATGATGGGGTGTCACTAATGGGACCGGGCTTCTTTACATGGAAAAGATGAAGAGATTTTGCAGGTGTAATTAAGGGCTGTAAACTGGTGGGTTTGAGTTAATCAAATGGGTAATTATCCTGAGTGACGACCAAGTCAGGTCAGCGCTGGAAAGCGAGTCAGAGAGCTCCTCCTGGACAGGCAGAGCCACAAGGCAGGGAGCTGGGAGCAGCTTCTGGGAGCTGAGAGCAATCTGGGGCCAATAGACAATAAGAATAGGAGACGTCAGTCTTTAAACCATAAGGAAATGAATCTATCAACACTTGAATAAACTTCCAAGAAGATCCCAAGTCTCTGGTAAAACCCAAGCCCTGGGTGACACCTTGGTCTCAGCCTGGCAAGACTCTGAGCAGTTGACCCAGGTCACCTGTGCCTTGACACACAGAAACTGTGGATACTAAATTTGTATTACTGTAAACTGCTAAGGAAAATAGTACAGTCATGTGTCACTTAATAACAGGCATAGGTTCTGAGAAATGTGTCATTAGGTGATTTGGTCATTGTGTAAACCTCATAGAGTGTACTTACACAAATCTCAGTGGCATAACCCATTACACACCTGGGCTGTACGGTAAAGCCTATTGCTCCTAGGCTACAAACCTGTACAGCATATTACTGTACTGAATACTGTGGACAATTGTAACAGAATGGTGTCTGTGTATATAACCTATCTACACATAGAAAAGGTGCAGTAAACATACACCATTATAATCTTATAGGACCACCATTCTAGATGTAGTCTGTTGTTGACTGAAATACTATGTGGTGCATGACTGTACTATAGGATAGAAACTGTTTTGCTTTGTGGACACGGGGAGGGGGAGGTGGAGGTGGGTGGGTTTATGATACTCTCCACTGGAGCCCAAGTCCACCACCTCAGTGACCCATTTCCTCCTGCCCACACTGTACTTGTAAAACTTGTGAGAAACATAATACTAAATACGATACTAATACTGAGTGCAAGCGCTTAGAAACTTCCGTTACAAGCTCTCTATAAATATTAGATTAAAAAGACACGAACAGCTTTCACTATTAGAGAGGATAATAGAATTTGATCAGCTAAATCCTGGGGCTTTATAAAGCACAAATTATGTAAACAAGCTTAATGGCTTTTTGATAAAACTACAAAACCAGGGCTAGGAAGAATGCAAGAGGAGTACTTTATTTGGACTTTAAACTTCACGCACTAGAGCACAGATGCTTGCTTAAATTAAGAAAAAAATGAATGCAAAGGGAGTTATGGAGAAAATGAGTTAGAGGATAGAAGATGAAGAAAAATATTGTCTTAGGTTTAAGGATAGACAGTAAAGTTTCAAGAATAATGGCTGGATCGAGCATTATTTACTATTGTTACTATTAATCATCTAGCAGAAAGAACTAAGTGAAAGCAGAAAGAACCTTTTAAATACAAAGGTTCAGGGTATCTAGGGAGAGGATGCTGGTAACACCTGAAGAAAATGGAAATGAAAAGCTGAAATGTTAGAAATATACAATTAAAAGAGGTTGATACTGAAAATATAAGATAGTTTATATTCACAAAAGTTTTAACACCAAATTTTCAGAGGGAGCATAAAAATGGAGAAGGAAGGCGAGGCTAACAATGATCACATTTTATCATGTACCCTAAGATCTAAAAAAAGAAACCAGGCTTTGGCTTTCACAGGATGATAAATTTTTCTACAAAGGATTCTGTGAAAAATCTTCTCTCCTCAATGTCATCAACTGTGCAGCACTTGAAATGCTCTATAATTTAGGACACCCCCTAATTTCTAAATTTCCAAGAGATGTAGCTCTGAGCTGCAGACAGTCAGAAGAATTACATAGTAGAACTACTGCCTTACGATAAAAAATGAAGAGTCAATTTATGTCAAACTTAGCAAGAAATAGTAAATTCAAGCTTGTTTGAGATAAGAAGCCTCTGTCTAAATTATTTGACTGCAAGCAGTGATTTTTTTCATGTCTCATGGTAACAATGGAAATATTTTCCTTTTTTTTTTTGAAGGAAAGGCAGTGAAGATATCAACTTATTCCAATTACTGAACTTTATTTACAAGAAACCCGAGACAAAGATTTTTTTATTTTATATTTATTTATTTTTTGAGACGGAGTCTCGCTGTGTTGCCCAGGCTGCAGTGCAGTGGCACAATCTCGGCTCACTGGAACCTCTGCCCCCCGGGTTCAAGTGACTCTCCTGTCTCAGCCTCCTGTGTAGCTGGGACTACAGGTGTGCGCCACCACACCCAGTTAATTTTTGTATTTTTAGTAGAGACGGGGTTTCGCCATGTTGGTCAGGCTGGTCTCCAACTCCTGACCTCAGGTGATCCACCCACCTTGGCCTCCCAAAGTGCTGGGATTACAGGCATGAGCCGCCGTGCCCGGCCAAAGATTTTTTTTTTAATGTGTTCAAGGTCCTACAGTGACTTTGCGTAGCATCTGCCTGTAGGACAACTTTACCTGGTTGAATTACAGGGACCCAAAGCAACATAGAATCTTACCCTTTTCCTAGTTTTCCTCTGCTCCTCTGTGCTCCATGTCATGTGGTTACCATTTTCAACTTTCTCTGTCTCATCAGGAACGGTCTGGCCAACTCCTCTTCTTAAATACCCATCAAATCAATCTCCTCCTCTTTTACTTTATTGCCACTACTTTAAGTCTCCATTTTCAACCTCTGCATTACTACGGGGGCTTTCGAACTTGTTTCCCTGTCTTATCTCTGGGTGTCCTTTGGAGAATATTATTCACAGCTGTCAAAGTGATGTTTTTAATATACAATGCCTGATTAAATTACTCTTTTGCTTGAAACCATCCATTGCTTGCTTTCACCTCAGGACAAACTTTCAACTGCTTTGCATCCTACACAAAGCATTTTGTAAGTTGACCTATTTTTCCTTCTCCTGATTTCTCAGCCGCATAACACCCACTTGTTCTTCAACACTCAGCTCATGAGTCAGCCGTTTTGGGGAAGATTTTGCTGGTGTCCTATGCAGTGCTTGAAATGCTCTGTCATTTAGAACACCCCCTAATTGCCTAGGATGTAGCTCAATCCATGGCTCCCCTATGCTGTCTATGCAGCATCCTTAGAAGGTTCATTATTCCTGGCCATACCATGTTCCCCGCATTCTAGTGGCTATTATTTGCCATACGTCTGTGGCACCACCACATCCACTGTATATGTGTGCATGGATGCCAAGTTGCTCTTCATTCTCCAAGTCTTTCTGTCATTCTCTAGGATCCAAGCAGTCATTTTAACCTCCACACAGATGATCTGTTTGCCCCCCAAATGCTCTCAGACACTTTTTCTCTACTTACCCTCAATTATGTATATTTTTCCAAACACTTATTAAATATTTTAACACGAGAACCCTAATCTCTCTCTATTGAATTATTGAGTAATATAGTTTGGCTCTGAATCCCTGTCCGAATCTCATCTTGAATTGTAATCCCCACAATTCCCAAGTGTTGAGGGAAGGACCTGGTGAGAGGTGATTGGATTATGGGGACAGTTTCCTCCATGTACTTCTCATAATAGTGAGTTCTCATGAGATCTAATGGTTTTATAAGTGTTTGACAATTCTGCCTTCACATGCTCTCTCCTGCCGCCTTGTGAAGAAGGCATCTGCTTCCCCTTCTGCCATGATTGTAAATTTCCAGAGGCTTCCCCAGCCATGAGCAACTGTGAGTCAATTAAACCTCTTTCCTTTATAAATTACTCAATCTCAGGGAAGTTCTTCATAGCAGTGTGAGAACGAACTCAGGGAAGTTCTTTATAGCAGCGTGAGAACGGACTAATTCCTCATCCCCCCACCCCCCTTCTCCCCTTCCCCCTCCCCCTTCCTTTCCCCTCCCCCTCCCTCTACCCCTCCTCCTCCTCTTACTCCTCCTCCTTCTTCTTCTTGGCAGGGTTTCTGGCACTCAGGCTGGAATTCAGTAGTGTGATCATGGCTCATTGCAGCCTTGACATCCCAGGCTCAAGTGATCCTCCCACCTCAGCCTCCTAAGTAGCTGGGACCACAGGTTTGCACCACCATGCCCAGCTAGTTTTTGTTTTTGCTTTTTTTTTTTTTTTGGTAGAGATAGGGTCTCACCATGTTGCCAAGGCTGGTCTTGAACTCCTGGGCTCAAGCGATCCACCTGTCTTGGCCTCCCAAAGTGCTGGGATTACAGGCGTGAGTCATCGTGTCCCGCCTATTGAGTTTCTAAGAGCTCATTCCTGAGATGCTGTTTCTCTGTTACATCAACCCCCAAATGATATTATCAATTCTCATATATTAATATGCTAATAATTGGCACATTTATATCTCTAACCCAATCAGGCTTTTGGGGCTCACCCAACTGTAAAATTTGCATCTCAGTTTAGATGGCACATGGCACTTCACATTTAATTAGGTCAAAAGTAAGTTCTTGAGCTTCCTTTAAAACTGTTTTACCCTTAATTGTCCACTTCTCCTAAATGGCACTAAAGTTCATCCAGCTACTCAGTCCATATGTTGAGAAGTTAGTATTGATAACTGTCTCTCTTTAAACATTCTCATCCAAACTTTTACCAATCCTGTCAATTCTACCTTCAAAACAGATCTAAAAATGTATCAATTTCTCATCACTTTAAACCATCCCTACCCTAGTTCAAGGGAGCATCATCTCTTCATTGGACTTTTGCAATAATAGCTTCAGAGCTGGTCCCAATGTTTTCATGCTGTCTCTTATAGAAGCCCAAGTGGTAGATGTATGAATGCAATCAAGATCTTATTTTCCTGCTTAAAATCTTTCCATAGACGACCACCCACTGCAATTGAAAAATAATAATAAAAAAAAGCGCACTTTTTTCTGCCCTACACTCCTTATGGCTGGTCTGCTCTGGCCTGCCCCCACCCACCTTTCCCCTGCTTTATTTTGAGTCACTCTCTTACGCTCACTATGTTCCAGCCACTGGGATTTCAGTTCTTTGGAATAAGCCAATCTCTCTTGTGCCCTGGGGGATTGATTTATATGGCTCATTTCTCTTCTTCACCTTTTTGAGTGCTTGCCTCCTTTTATACTTCGGATTTAGGGGAGCATTTATAATTTTTCATGACATAGAGTTACATATCAAGACTTTATAGACTACTTCATGCTGTTACTCCCTCCTCTTCTTTAACATGTATCTCTTGAAAATGGAATAGCCCAAGCCAAGCTTTGTGGCATCATGCTCTCTTTATGATGTTAAATCCACATTCTTTCCAGGAAAAGGAAGGGTTGGTTAGTGGCAAAGAACTGAAAGGTGCCTGCTGGCCTGTAAGGCAAGATTCTTCAAGGGTCCTTGAACACACTGATGTTTGTAACTATCTTGAATGAATAGAAAAAAAATTCTACTTGCAAAAAGTTGTATTCTGCTCCTTAGAGCTCAGAAGTCATTTGAAGTGCTGAGTTAAATTGCAGCCATGCTGTTTAAGGGAGATATTGATGAAGATAAGACATATGTTTCTGAGCAAAGGGTTCAATGCACAGGAGAAGCTCTCCTGAGAGTAGACTAGTCCTGTGTGTTGTGTGTGTCCTTGATATGAGAATTATGTATATTATAGTTTTGTTTTCTTTTCTAATTTCCTTTGAGATGAATTTAAGAAAATAACTAAAATAAATTCTTAATTGTCCAGTCCAAGCCACGATGCCCTGATTTCCCTTGAGGTTAAGAATAGACTTTAATTGTATTATATATTTTCATATATTAGGAGAAACCAGAATCGAGATTCTTATAAATTAAGTCAAGTTATCATAGGTTAATATTTTAGTGCTAAAAAGATAAAAATGAAGGTATATAAAAAAGAATTCAAGTGCATTGACAAGTCCAGCTGTCAGTGAACTCTTAGATTAATCTCTCTGGTAAGTGTGTTCCTTCTCTGAGACATGCCTAAAGTTCTTTTTCAAAATAGAAAAAAAAATTAAACTGGGAGCTAGCATCTTGCATATTTCTAGGGGAAATTTAGAAATTTAGGGGGACGCTAGTTCCCATTTTATTTTTTTATTTCTATTTTGAAAAAAAAATTGAGACAGGTCTCACTCTTTTAGACTGGAGTGCAGTAGTGTGATCACAACTCACTGCAGCCTCGAACCTCCGGGGCTCAAGGAATCCTTCCACATGAGCCACCCAAGTAGCTGGGACATTTTCTAAATAGAGATGTGGTCTCACTATGTTGCCCAGGCTGGTCAGCTTCCATTTTATTATCTTCTCCACATGTCTTCCATACTACACTGATGCCCTCATCATTTTCCCTTTCATTCTGTACCATGCCTGGCTTCCTGATACTGCTGAGAGTTCCTCGCTGGTGTCTGCTTGCCTAGAGTACCATTCATGGTTTTCAGTTCTAGTTTTACAATCTGATTTCCACTTCACACATAATGAATCAGAGTCTGCAGGGGTGGAGCCAAGAAGTTTGTATAGAAAACAAAACCAAAGACAAAATAAAACTCTATAAGTGGTTCTGAACTATAGCCAGAAGATCCATGGGCTGCATATAATTCAGTTTGAATTTGCCTGAATAATATGGGCAAGTTTTATTTATTTATTTATTTATTTATTTATTGAGATGGAGTCTTGCTCTGTCACCAAGCTGGAGTGCAGTGGCTTGATCTCGGCTCACTACAACCTCCTCCTCCAGGGATCAAGTGATTCTCCTGCCTTAGCCTCCTGAGTAGCTGGGACTACATGTGTGTGCCACGAAGCCCAGCTAATTTTTGGATTTTTAGTAGAGACAGGGTTTCCTCATGTTGGCCAGAATGGTCTCGACCTCTTGACCTCATGATCCACCTACCTCAGTCTCCCAAGATGCTGGGATTACAGGCGTGAACCACCACACCTGGTCTAATATGGGCAAGTTATTTAACTACTAAAGCCTTTAAATTTTTTCATCCAATAACTTTTATTGAAGGTTTACCGTGTGTTAGACAATAAGCTAAGAACCATATGCAGATTACCTTATTGTATTCATACAATAATGCTATGAGGTGGGTATTCTCATTAATTCATTTACAGATAAAGATTCTGAGGTTTACTGAATTTAGCAAAGTTACTAAAGTGCCCAATATTACACATGTGGTGATTAATGAAGCCAGGATGTAAACTCAAGTGTCTGTCCAAAGGATTTGTCATGATACTTGACAGATGGTAAACAGTCACACTCAGTAACTACCATCAGTAGCATCTTATTATCATTACCCTTATCATATTATGCCCAGGAGTTCACATCAAATGCTGGTCTTTTGCTGGAGCCAGTAAATAATGCATACCTCACACCTTCCTCTGGATTTTTGAAGCGTAAGATATTGCCAAGTGTCTGATGGAAAATCTGTTCTTATCTTAGAGATCTGCACATTTTACACATTGTTGTGGAAGTTGACAAGAACCCATAATCTCATTTCACATGGAAGTGGAGAAAAACTAGGTCCTCTTCCCAAGAAGAAAAGCCCAAATATATTTCATAAAAGCTTCAGGTAATTTTTGCTATTATCAGAATGGGATTTCAGGACTTAGAAAGATTTCTTCTATCATTATGGAGAATCGAGGAAGGTCTGTCACGATCTAAAAGCTTCCTCTAGCATGCACAGTGAGAATATTGGAGCAGTGATGCTAAATTTCCCTAATCTAGGTTACTAGTTCTTTCTTTGGGCTGAACTTTGCAACTTTACTTTCTGTTTTTTTCCCCCTACATGCTGATTTTAAAAAAATGATGCTTAATTGTTCACATCAAACATGAACTTTTTGAAAAGCACAGTGTCAAAATGTTTTATTGCTCTAATAATACATTTCATCATCTTATCTAACAAATCCAGCAATATGTTGCTGATTAGATGTTGTGATAAAAACATAGCACCAAAGAAACAAACCATTGGTGGAACTACTTATTCGTGACATATAGAAAAGCATCTTCATAAAACATAAATATGACACAGTTACCTGTCATGTTGCAGTAAACTTTCAGAGGCCCCAGAGGTCCGCTGCCATCAGGATCTATCCAGTAATAATTTGATGTCTGTCCTAGGTGTTTGTAGGCTTCACAGGAAGGCTCGTAGATAGCTAGAACAAACAAAATATCCTACATAAGCACAGCACAGAACAAATGGCTCCCCAGATAAATGTCCCAGTGGCATATTGCAATGCTAGCAAACCACTAGTTAGGAGTAGTTCTTCCTGGAAAGAGCGTTCTTTGTCTCTAAATTTAAATTCATGATTTGTTTCTTTCTCTATAAGCATTCCTGACCTACCAAAGACAGCAAGCTCCTGGTATGACTTTATGTTGGGGAAAAGACTAAAATAATCAATCCTTAAATAAATGTAATTTTTATTTTACTGGGGCTCATGATCATTGAAAACAATATTTAATTTCTACTTATTTATAGATATTATCCCCTTACTATAAAAAACTTATATTGGCTGCTTTGTTGGTTATGAACTAAGAGGCCAGGAAAAATTACCCTTCACTCTCTCTGCCTCTCTCTTGTGCACACACACACATACACTCACATGCACACTTATTTTTTGCATAGTTTGTACAAGTTGTCCATAAATAGTATGTAATTTTGAATCTTCCTTTCTCAAAAAAAGGAAAGAGATTTCCTTGATTCATTTTATTTGTTCCAGGTGCTTTAATTACATCAAATCTAGTTTGTGTAGACGGCTGACATTCATGTAATTAAATTATGTTCTTATTCATTATTTCCCTTTTTATTCCAGTGCTCATGACAAATTTTCTTTTTCTCACTGAGACTGCACCTGTTTTCAGAAGTACAAAACGGACATTTACATATCTCCTTTGTAGTTAGAACATCTAAAATGCTACTGACAAAACTTTCTTTTAAACAGCTCTGCCCAGGAATTAATGAAGAATGTGAAAGTTTTCTTCACAAAACTAAGATATGTTTTCGGTAAAAATATGTCAACCTGATACAAAAGCAGTGAAGTCTTTGGGTAAGTTGCACTTGAATTACACTCCTTAGGGGTTGTTGTGTGTTAAACTATAAAATAGTACAAAATAAATTACAAAACATTGTTAAGCTTATATTGTACTAATTAAAAATAATTGCATGGTCCTAGAATTAGAGAGCTTTCACTGAGGAGGGTCTCAAGGTCATTGCCACCTCTCTGGATTTCCAGCCTGGCTATGCACAAACCTCAGTAGTTACTCTAACAGGAATAATTAGGTTCTGGAAAAACTTGTTTCTCCAGTCAAATTCACTAGAGCCTGGTTGGAATCAGAAAGTCAGTTTCATGGGTGGTCTGATTCTGGGACCTCCCTTTTTTAACCTTCCTCTACCAAGTTCTCTGTGCCTCCTTTGGCTTTCTATGCCTTCCTCTTTCCAAGGATGTTAGACCTTCAACTCTATGTCATTTAAACAACAGCATACTAGATTCAAGCTTTCTAAAATTCTTTGATCTACCCATTTCTTCTTCCATGCCTCCCTCCCTCATTTCCTCCCTTTGCACATAGTTATTGAGGAACTATGCTGCACTGAGCAGTGCGTTAGGCATTGCAGATACAGCTGTGAACAACACGGATAGAAGACCTTCGAAACCGTGTTTGTTCACTAATTATTTTGGTATTGCTCATTTGTAAACTGCTCTTAGAAGAGGATGGGGCTAGAAAGCTCGGCAAAGCCCAGACAACTTTTGTCCCAGTGTAATTATTAATATGCCCACTTTCAATGTCCCAAGGGTCTCATTCAGATGATAAACTACACGGCTGCTCTAATTCAGAATGTCATACCAAGTAAAACAGTACAATAAAAAGCAGAGGAAAAGTATTTTTAAACTTTTAGCAGGAAGATGCCATAAGTCAATATAGGTTTTATATCAACTTATACAGAATGAAAACTCTGTGCAGCAATGCAATAGGTTTTAGGGAAGTAATTCAAAAGGTAAAAAGAGTATTTAGGCTGTTTCAACTATAGGCTGCCAGTTGAAAGATTACCAGTACTTAAACTAAAGCAATATGACAAAGAATAGAGTAAATAGGACTGATTCAATTTTTTTTTTTTTTTTTTTTTTTGAGACGGAGTTTCGTTCTTGTTGCCCAGGCTGGAATGCAATGGCGCGATCTCGGCTCACCACAACTTCTGCCTCCCAGATTCAAGCGATTCTCCTGCCTCAGCCTCCCAAGTAGCTGGGATTACAGGCATCCGCCACCATGCCCGGCTAATTTAGTATTTTTAGTGGAGACGGGGTTTCTCCATGTTGGTCAGGCTGGTCTCGAATTCCCGACCTCAGGTGATCTGCGCCTCGGCCTCTCAAAGTGCTGGGATTATAGGCGTGAGCCACTGCACCTGGCCTCAAATGTTTTTTTTTTTTTTTTAAGATCGGCAAGACATAGAATCCAACTGGATGTAGGTGATTAGGAATACAGAGGAGTTAAGAGTAAACTAAACTCACAATCTTTGAAAATAAAACTGTTTTGTTAATTTTTTACACCTCTCTCCAGATTATTAAAATTGGTATGTATAGCTCAAGAGAAACCAGGATGTCAGGTTCAAATTCTAGTTTTCCTCTTAGTCCCTTTGTCCAATCTGCCATTGAAACCATTCCCCTTCTTTTCCATTATAATATTTAGTAATAAATCATTGTCTTTTTCTTCTGCCAAAACTCCTTATCATTGTCTTTCATTTGGTATCTTGTTTACAACACTCACCTTATTCATTGGTTGTTCTACCCAAATATCTCCTCACTTCTCACTAAAGTGTGCTTTTTAACCAATGTTCTTCTAGTTATGAAACATCACTTTTATGTTAAATAATGTGTAATGTTTCCTCAATATCTATAAATTATATCACAGATCTTCATCTATGTGTACAAGAACTTGGGTTATCCTAACAGGTCTTTCTTGGCTTCAGCTGCTTGCCAATGTGAATGTTGTGCTCTGGTCAGGCAAATTCCCCACAGGAGCTCGCTTACCTCACACTCACCCTTTCTGGTGTGGCCTTTATCTACAATATACTACCAGCCACTTTCTCAATCTACAAAAGTTCTCAGTCAGAGTTAACAATTAGGCCGGGCACGGTGGCTCATGCCTGTAATCCCAACACTTTGGGAGACTTAGGTGGGAGGAATGCTTGGAGCCAGGAGTTGGAGACCAGCCTGGGCAACATTGTGAGACCCCATCTCTACAGACATTTTTAAAAAATATTAGGCCGGGCATGGTGGCTCACGCCTGTAATCCCAGCACTTTGGGAGGCCAACGTGGGCTGAAGGTCAAGAGATTAAGAGCATCCTGGCCAACATGGTGAAACCTGGTCTTTTCTAAAAATACAAAAATTAGCTGGGCATGGTGGCACATGCCTGTTGTCCCAGCTATTCAGGAGGCTAAGGCAGGAGAATCGCTTGAACCCAGGAGGCGAAGGATGCAGTGAGATAAGATTGTGCCACCGCACTCCAGCCTGGGTGACAGAGTAAGACTCCATCTCAAAGAAAGGAAGGAAGAAAGGAAGGAAGGAAGGAAGGAAGGAAGGAAGGAAGGAAGGAAGGAAAGAACGAACGAAGGAAAAAAGTTTTCTTTTTCTTCAAAGTATAACAATTATTGTGCTTGCCTTTCACCTACAATAGGCCTAAGCTGCTTTGCCTCATCAACGCTTACAGAAAACCAAACACTTCAGTCCAAAATTCTGCATGTGTGAAACACCTGGAGAGCTTATTAAAACAGAAATTCCTGGATTTCACCCCAAAGACTTGGACTCAGTAGAGAATTTGCAGTTATGACAAGCTCCCAAATGACGCTGGCACTACTGTCCTCAGACTGCATTTGGAGAAGCATAGATTTCATCCTGAAAAAAGGTAAATTCAAGGTAGACTAATTTTTATTTATATTTAAATATCCAGCAAAAGTAGGTTACTGAAAGACAATACAGTAAAATTGTACATATGATAAGGTTAGAATGCCACCTCACTTCACTGGAAATATGATAAAATGGAATGGGATGCAAAACCATAATGTCAAAAGAAATATATAAATACACAGAAAAATGTTTATAAATACATAAAAATAGTAAGAGGTGTTATTTTTCAGCAGTAATATTGTGGGTGATTTAAAACTGTTCACAGATTTTTAAATTTCCTACATCACTTTATAATGTGCATATGTTATGTTATTTTGTCTTTAAAATACATTTAAAAATATGTATCTAGAATTTTGACACTGCAGTAAAATGACAAGAATAGCTGTGATAGAGCAAAGTCACATTAGTTTTATCATCTGAATAAAGAATTAAGAAATTTTAGATCATATCTCCTTTCTGTCATTTACCGCCTGGATACTCTCCCTAACGTGGTTTTTTCAACTGTAAAATTGAGGTATTAAGTTGGTGCAAAAGTAATTGCGGCTTTGCTATGAAAAGTCATGGCAAAAACTGCAAATACTTTTGTAGCAACCTAATAGTAATACCTTCTTCACCAAGTTGTTGTGAAGATTAAATAAAATCAGATACTTCAAAAACTAGAAGTTATTGAGTATATTTCATTTTTTTATGCAGAGAATGAGCTAATGACAGTATTTACCCTGCATGCCTCAGCCAGTTAGCTCTGCACCCAGTGGAGTCCTAGCTGGGTTGCACAATTTTTGCACATTAAGCCCTAGGAGATGACAGAACACAGGAGCTAAGGCAGCAGCCACTGAAGAAACAGAAGGGTCTGAACCATTGTCGATAATTGAGTTTTGCCAGTAGACTGCTGAAGAACAGAAAGGTAATTGGGTTGATGGCAAAATAAATAGACTCATCAAGTCTATTGATTTATTTGTAAAGTAATTTTTCTCTGTTGCAACTCCAAGTCCCAAGTAAAAGTTCTCATGCTATATATTCATAATATCAGCTATTCAGAAATATTACTACTGAACATATCAGATTGAATTTCATAGCATGCAAAAATTTAGACAGTGACAAGTCCTAAATGTCTTTTTTTTTTCTTTTGAGATGGAGTCTGGCTCTGTTGCCCAGGCTGGAGTGCAGTGGTGCAATCTCGGCTCACTGCAATCTTTGCCTCCCGGGTTCAAGCGATCCTCTTGCGTTAGCTTCCCAAGCAGCTGGGATTACAGGTGCCTGCCAACATGTCTGGCTAATTTTTGTATTTTCAGTAGAGATGGGGTTTCACCATGTTGGCCAAGCTGGTCTCAAAATCCTGACCCCCGCCTGCCTCAGCCTCCCGACCCCCGCCTGCCTCAGCCTCCCAAAGTGCTGGGATTACAGGTGTGAGCCACTGTGCCCAGCCACTAAATGTCTTATTCATTTTCATTAAACAATGAATGAATGTTGTCTGTGTATTACCTATCATGGAAAATGATGAAGTACTATTGTATGAGTTTCCTCTTGCTGCTCTAACAAATGACAGACACTTAGTGACTTAAAACAACACCAATTTATCTTACAGTTCTGGAGATGATGATTCTGTTAATAATAATGATACAGTTCTGGTTAGAAGTTTGAAATGGGGTTCACTGGGCTAAATTCAAAGTGTTGGTAGCACTGTGTTTCTCCTGCAAATTCTAGGGGGGAAATCTATATACTTGCCTTTTCCAGATTATAGAGGCCACACACATTCCTGGGCTCATCATCTCAGTCCCCCATCTTCAAAGCTAGGAATTAGGTGGAATTTCCCTCCTGCTGCATCACTGCAACTCTCTGCTTTCATAGTCTCTTTCTCTGACTATTTTAAGGAGCTCTGTCATTACACAAAGCCACCCAGATAATCCAGGATAATCTCCTCAAATCAAGGCTCTTAACAAGCACAAAGTCCCTTTGCCATATAAAGTTACATATTCACTGGTTCCATGAATTAGGACATGAACCTCTGGTGGGGAGCATTATTTTTATCACAGATATATAAAAACTATATAAAATAATATGATTTTATATAAATAATGTATGGAAATAATATCACAACTATATAAAAATGATGACTCTATTTAAAGAATAACTTTTATTAAGCAACTAATGTGCTTCCAGTGTTGTGGATGAACACAAGGTATATTAAGCAGAATAATAAAGAAAGACGGAAGAATGAAGTCAAATTTTCATACTGACTTTAAAGGTCCACATAGCCTTGAAGGTTATGTCTACCAGTAGAATACGAAACACCATGGCCCAAGCAGACGATGTGACAGAGAAATTCTGTTAAAGCAGAAATTCTGCTCTCTGCTTACATGCAGACGTGGCCGCAGGCCTATACAGGATTGCCAAAATGCTGGCAGAAAGAGAAAAGCAAAAGGTTTAAGAGTAAAGACAAGTAACAGGCATGAATTGCTGGGAAATAAAGCATCGATTAAAGAATGGATAGGGTAGGGGGAGAAACATGAAGGAGGCCCTATTCCCTAGGAGAAGAGCTAGAGTTCCATGACGCTGATGAGCTGAGGAAGACTCTCTCCACACCTGTCTACTCCTCGTGCTTTGAGAGAAACAATTAAACTTGAAATATACATCCTTCCTGTTGTGACCTTGAAAAGCATGAGGATCACTAGAAGTGGCCGGGTATTAACCCATGTGAGAAACTTACTCATAAGTCAAAGCTGAGCACATACATAAAGGTTATCTTTGGAACATCATAAGCAGTCTTCCTGACTGTACAGAAGAGGGAAAAATATTCACTTTTAATGATTTGATATGAAACTGGGAAAAAGCATGAAATAATTTTAAATCTAATTTTGATAAGAAATGCTGTAATATAACATTTTGCGTATCCATCAATCGCTTATGAATGCCCTCACCTTTCTGCTCTTTTATACTGGAGGCGATCACATGCTTACTATATACTTGTACATACTTGCTGTAGGGACCAGGTTATAAGATGCTAAAATGAGGGATTGGTTTTCTGGGAATTTCTACCCTTGAATGGATAAAGAAGCCTTTTCATGTAAAACGTAGGCATAGCGGCGATATAGTTTATATGGGGCTTATCTGGGTTGGTATTGTTCAGTGTAGGATGGTCTCTGGGGCCCTCCTTATTCTGCTCCCTTTTTAACCATGAAACCACCTTCTGATCCTAATCTTGCTTTCAAAAATAAGTTTCTATATTGGAAAGAGGTAATTCTCATTAGAAACCATGAAACTGACTTTTTTATCTCAACAGACTCTAGTGAATTTGGTTGCAGGAATGTGTTTGCCCAGAACCTAATTATTCCTGTTAAGGTAACCACTGAGGTTTGTGCACAGCCAAGTTGGAAATCCAGAGAGGCGGCAATGACCTTGAGACCCTCCTCAGTGAAAGCTCTCTAATTCTAGGACCATGCAATTATTTTTAATTAGTACAATATAAGCTTCACAATACCTAAGTCCTCATTAACACTTGAATATTAACCTCATATGTTCTCTGTCTGTTTGGATTTTTTTTTTTTAGAGCTTGAATGAATACCCTGAGTAAACTACATTATTTCCCTTAGGAACCATTGTCTCATTATCAGCACACAGCAAATGAAGATGGTAGAGAGAATGTGGATTTAAAAACAGATATTCTGTATGCTAATATTGTGTCATGATCTTTCCCTGCATATAATTTCTGTATGAGATGTTATTCATTATAGCCCCCTAATGGGTTTATTTACCTGTCCAAGCCTCAAGGGGAGGGAGGAAATTAGGATTTTTTTAAAAAAGACAAAGTTTCAATTTCTTGTTGAAATTACAATAGCTTGTAGTTCTTTTACTTGATAAGTCCTTCAAAAAGTTTCTGAAAGCCAGAGTATATCTACATTTATTATTTCATTTCTACTCTCTCCCTTCCCCATACCCAGCCCATTTTTTCTTTTGTTTGATCCTTCCCAAATCCCTCTATAAATTGGCTTCAAGGCACTGTTTCAAAGAAAAAAAAAAATAATCCATACTATTGCAATGCCAGTCACAAAACCAGGACTCTTTGCCCCTGTATCACTGTGATTGCCATATTTCCTGGAGACTTCAATATCCATTCTTGGTATTCTTTGACCTGCACTCCACAATATATCAAATTTTCCTGTATTACATGACTAAACCTAAACAACTCTACTTGTATTTTATTCAGGGTTACTATTAGGTTATAGAAAACTCTAAGAAGGAGAGAAAGCCTACAAAATCCAACAGGCATGCTACAAACACGCTTCCTCAATTTAATGGGTCTGGACGAAGAAGCTTAGCATCCAGTTCATCTTGCTCAGATCCTATAGAGGTTGCTTATGTTGCTGCATCTCCTGAGTCTCCATTCCCATCTCTAACCTTCTCTCTCTCATTTCCTTTTTTTTCTTTTCTTTTGAGATAGAGTTTTGCTCGTCGCCTAGGCTGGAGTGCAATGACGCGATCTCGGCTCACTGAAACCTCCACCTCCCGGGTTCAAGCGATTCTCCTGCCTTGGTAGCTGGGATTACAGGCACGCGCCAGCATGCCTGGCTAATTTTTGTGCTTTTAGTAGAGACAGGGTTTCACCATGTTGGCCAGACTGGTCTCTTACACCTGACCTTGGCCCTCCCAAAGTGCTGGGATTACAGGCGCAAACCACCACCTCAGCCCCTTTCTTATTGCTAATTATTTTAGGAACACCTACTAATGTGGTAGTAGTATCTAACACTATACCTTGCCCTAGGAAGAAAAAAGTAAAAAAGTCATAAATCCTAGCTCTGGGGAATTTGCTATGTAATACATGGGGCAGGCATGTTAACTAAATAATATATATAATTTGTTAGATGTTATAAAAGATTATAAAACAAAGTACTCAGAGACTTTAGAAAAATAAACTGGATAAGTTGATTTAGGACAGTTTGGAAATACTTTATTTGTGAAGTGGTTTTATGCTAAGTCTTATAGGATGAATAGGAGGTTGCAAGGAAGACAAGAGAAGGACTTTCCTTACACTTCCTCCCCAGAACCATGTGATTCCATGCTTGTCCTGAGATCATTTAATGGTTTTCTCCATTTACCTCCTCTCTTTTTTCCATTGGCTGCATCTTCTCTATTCATCTGCACTGGTCTCTGCGATCTTAGATTCAAGGGCAGGTAGACACGTGCTACATGCTAGTCCCGTTTCCCTGTCCAATCTAGGGGAACTCCTGCTTCTTCACCACTTACACCTTAGCCCCTCAAGTCAGAATGTTATCACTGCTGTCTCACCTTCAAGAATGTCACTGATACCTACCCTGGGCTTTCACTACGTTCTCATTCTCTAGGAGTTTAGTAGACATTGTCATTGTTGGCTGACTCCTCATGGAAACATTCTTCTCTTCATTTCTGTGCCCTTAGCTTGTATTTCTTTTTGCCTCTTGACTGTCCTATCCTGTGTCTTGCACTGTCATTTTTCTTCTGCTGGCCTGGAGAGAGAGCTATTCTTCAAGGGCTCTGTCACTGCCATCTGCTCAAAGCAATTATTTAATAGTTAACTTGTCTAGGATTGCTCACCTAGAAAAAGGCAGAGCCAGGATTTGAACACAGGAATTCTGGCTACAGGGTCCTAACACTTGTTTAAACATTGTGCTGAATTGTTTCTACTGATATTATGGAGGAAGAAGGCGTATTTTATTCTCATTGTTGAAGGACAGTGTGGAGAAAAGTGAGGGATGTGATTCACTAAGGAAATGACTCTTGGAAGTGTAGATTTTTCTTATTTATATCTCTGTGTGTGTGTGTGTGTGTGTGTGTGTGTGTGTGTGTTGAGGAAAGTAAAATGGAGTAAAGAAATTCAAATTCTCCATTTGTTTTTAGCTAAACAAATCACAGTTAAATGAAAAATCAGATTTTTAAATTAAAAAGTGTTAATTCTAAATGCAAACTTTAGTCATTTAAAGTCATTCTATGATTCAAATAATAAAAAGATAGCTACGTTTGTATACTAATTTACAGCTTTAAAATGTTTTACTGTAATTTATGGAATTCAATGAATGAGGCAATAGGACTGATTTTTAATTGTTAAATAAAGCCTTTTAAATTTAATGAAAAAATAAACCATTAAAAAATGTGAGCTTCAAAATTTGAAAATGAAACAGGCCGTTTCCCATAGCAGAAAGAATTGTGTTTAAACTCGCATATAACTCAAATAAAAAACAAACAAAATACACCGCCCAAAACTGAAGGCCATAGAAGGACACAGTGGGAAGACTTTTAGATCAAGAATCAGAACTCCTTTTTGTGACTTGGTTCTGTAACTTACAGTCCATATGACTTGGATTATTTGCCACTTAAATTTTCTGAGTATAAATTTTCTCATAAAAATGAGGAATTTGATGGGATATTCAAGTTTTACTTTGGCCAAGCACTCTAAGTTAATAGTTTATGGTGCATATTTCAAAAGGCCATAATAATCTGAATGTCTTTGCTAAGCCTTTATAATTTCTTGTCCATTATTTAAGTATTGATGTAGTAATGAAGACATTATTGGTGATTTCAGAGCTCTTCAGTCAGAGTTAAAAGAAGATTCAAATATAGATAATCCTGTTAAGAAATAGAGAACACCCATCGATGAATACAAGTTGAGAGTCTTTTTTCAAACCGAAACAGCAACAAGATATTAGCATCCTTGAGAGTCTACTGTTAAAACCAATGCAGCAACAAGATATTAGCATCTGATTTAGGTTCAGGATAAGGAACTTCCCAGGCAGTGGCTTTCTCCAACTTCTTTTGAGATATGAGGATTATATAAATGTAGGCTTGTTTTATAATAGGACAGGTTTCAAAAATATCAGACTATTGCTATGATTGCTAAATGTGGCTTACATTGCTTGAGATTCTGTTAAAGTCATCTCAGAATCAGAATCAAATAATGAAATTGCTAGTCTTCAAAGTAAGCCCCTTCAGTAGAGATTAAGGAGTCAATAACTTCAGCATTCCTTACACAATCAAGGACCAGAGAAGTAATAATATTTTCAAATATTCCAGAATCTTAAAGCATCTGCCAAAATCTAGGCACATAGAAACTGCTGCATTAAACTATTCGCACTGTAATGAAAGTTTTTGTGATCTTTATTCTGACTTTATTGATCCTATTTACAGCAGACAGCATGAGAAGAAAAACAATTTATTACCACCTGCTAGAATAGTTGAACCTGATAATGATATACCTGAGCTAACAGGAGAAACCTATACTGTTTGTCTTCTAATTTAAGAAAACAAGAAAGCCTACATATTTCTGGATAATGTTTACCTTAATGCACATAAGAACCATATCATAATTTTTGCTACATCCATACCTGATAGCACAGTGCCTGGTGTATGCAAGTTAGTCAGTGAAAGCTCACTGAATATTTAAATTCTATGGGAATAGTATTTTTTATGGATACTATCTCCTTACCCAGTATTTTCAGATAAATTTATGATTTCTTACAGCATTGTGGTTTAAGTACACACACAAACGTATATACTATATCTATATGTACATATAGTACATATATTTTCACAGAACAATTTTTTTCACTTCTGCCTTTACTTGTTAGTTTACCTGCTATATAATATCTGTTGTGGTTATTTGGGGAACAAGATCGTTTCAGAAGGTGCTGGCCCAGCTCTACAGTTGCCTGGCATTGTCTTTCCTCAGTGGCCAGAGGCAAAGCAAATGAACTTGACATTGCTGCTGAGGGACTGCTCCTCTCCCCACATCAGCCCCTTCCCTTTTTCTTCACTTCAGTTTGAGACTTTCTTCCACTCATGCTCAGTGTATTTAGTCCATTCTCATGCTGCTAATAAAGACATATGAGACTGGGTAATTTATAAAGGAAATAGTTTAATGGACTCCCAGTTCCACATAGCTGGGGAGGCCTCACAATCATGGTGGAAGATGAAGGAAGAGCAAAGGCATATCTTACATGGTGGCAGGCAAGAGAGATTGTGCAGGGGAACTCCTATTTATAAAACAATCAGATCTCATGAGACTTATTCACTACCACAAGAACAGCATGGTGGAAACCACCCCATGATTCAATCATTTCCACCTGGCCCTGCCCTTGACATATGGGGATTATTACAATTTAAGGTGAGATTTGGGTGGGGACACAGTCAAACCATATCACTCAGCTCTCTCAAAAAAGAGAACCCCACTGAAAAATAATTAACAAATCCCAAATATATTTTTCCACCGGGAATTTCAATCATGATCAAATTGAGTGATTTTTTCCAAGGCATTTATGTTGTTAAAAGTGGAAGAATAAAGTCATATTTGCTAAGGATCTGCAGTACTCATTTCTCATTATATAGTGCAACTTCTAAATCCTTCTATGAAAATTGTGATATTCCCCCCTCAGAGAAAATTTCCATAAAAGAAAAATTTTTATCAAACAATTATATGATCATTGACATTCTAATAAAAATAATGTATTGCTTTATACAGCATGTGCAACCAAATAATTCAAATATAATGCGTGTGTTATTTAAATAAATAGCTCTGATTCCAGGGTGTATGTGATAAGAAATGGGGGAAGAAAAGAAGACATGGTGTGGATAATTAACTCCTCTATGTAGATTACATATTACTATATCAGACACATCGAGCCCACTGCTTCAAATCCCTTGACTCATCCCTTATACCAGAACTGCTGTGGTGACTACTTTTTATAGACCTCAGCAGGATTTGCCATGGGAGGCATTGGTCTTACCATATCTGTCAAGTATATGGGTTCCCCTTTACTTCAAAGAATGGCTGTGACCTGGTCACTTAAAGCTCCGCAGGTTAGAAGTCCAGTTGTCTCTGTTTGCAGATGACATGATTTTATATTTAGAAAACCCCATCATCTCAGCCCCAAAACATCTTGAACTGATAAGCAACTTCAGCAAAATCTCAGGATACAAAATCAATGTGCAAAAATCACAAGAATTCCTTTACACCAACAATAGGTAAGCAGAGAGCCAAATCATGAATGAACTCCCACTCACAATTACTACAAAGAGAATAAAAACCTAGGAATACAACTTACAAGGGACGTGAAGGACCTCTTCAAGGAGAACTACAAACCATTGCTCAAGAAAATAAGACAGGACATCAACAAATGGAAAAACATTTCATCCTCACGGAGAGGAAGAATCATTATCATGAAAATGGCCATACTGCCCAAAGTAATTTATAGATTCAATACTATTCCCATCAAACTACCATTGACATTCTTCACAGAATTATAAATGTTTAAAATTTCATATGGAATCAAAGAAGACCCCAAATAGCCAAGACAATCCTAAGTAAAAAGAACAAAGGTGGAGGCATCATGCTATCTGACTTCAAACTATACTACAAGGCTACAGTAACCAAAAGAGCATGTACTGGTACCGAAACAGACATATAGACCAATGGAACAGAACAGAGACCTCAGAAATAACACCATACATCTACAAGCATCTGCTCTTTGACAAATGCGACAAAAACAAGCAATGGGGAAACGATCTCCTATTCAGTAAATGGTCCTGGGAAAATTGGCTAGCCATATGCAGAAAACTGAAACTGGACCCCTTCCTTACACCTTATACAGAATTATCTCAAGATGGACTAAAGACTTAAATTTAAAACCCAAAATCATAAAAACCCTAGAAGAAAACCTATGCAATACCATTCAGGACATAGGCATGGGCAGAGACTTCATGACAAAAATGTCAAAAGCAATTGCAACAAAAGCCAAAGTTGACAAATGGGATCTAATTAAACTGAAGAGCGTCTGCACAGCAAAAGGAACTATCATCAGAGTGAACAGGCAACCTACAGAATGGGAGAAAATTTTTGGAATCTACCCATCTGACAAAGGTCTAATATCCAGAATTTACAAGGAACTTAAACATATTTATAAGAAAAAATCAAACAACCCCATCAAAAAGTGGGCAAATAATATGAACAGACACTTTTCAAAAGAAGACATTTAGGCTCCCAACAAACATATGAAAAAAAGCTCAAATTCACTGATCGTCAGAGAAATGCAAATCTAAACCACAATGAGACACCATCTCACACCAGTCAGAATGGCGATTATTAAAAAGTCAGAAAACAATAGATGCTGGTGAGGCTGTGGAGAAATAGGAACACTTTCACACTGTTGGTAGGAATGAAAATTAGTTCAACCCTTGTGGAAGACAGTGTGGCAATTCCTCAAGGATCTAGAACCAGAAACACCATTTGACTCAGCAGTCCCATTACTGGGTACATACCCAAAGTATTATAAATCATTCTATTATAAAGACACATGCACACATGTTTACTGCAGCACTATTTACAATAGCAAAGACATAGAACCAACCAAAATGCCCATCAGTGATAGACTGGATAAAGAAAATGTGGCACTATACACCATGGAATACTACACAGCCATAAAAAGGAATGAGATTATGTCCTTTTCAGGGACATAGATGAAGCTGGAAGCCATCATCCTTAGCAAACTAACACAGGAAAAGAAAACCCAACACCGCATGTTCTCACTCATAAGTGAGAGTTGAATATTGAGAACACATGGACACGGAGAGGGGAACAACACACACCAGGGCCTGTTGGGGTGTGTGGGGTGCAGGGAGGGAACTTAGAGGATAGGTCAATAGGTACAGCAAACCACCATGGCACACGTAGACCTATGTAACAAACCTGCATGTTCTGCACATGTATCCCGTTGTTGTTGTGTGTGTGTGTGTGTGTGTTTAGAAGAAATAAAGACAAAACAAAAAAACAAAAATAAAAACAAAAACAAAGCTCCTCATGCCAGTGGACCATCAAGCAAAGAAAGGAGTTACTACTGTTCTGGCAAAGGTAGCTTATCTGAATGAGCTGAGGAGACAGCGCTGCTGCCCCCTAGCAGGCAGGGAGAAGAATGTCTGGAGCCCAGGGGATTGAATGTAATACCTGTTGCTGCTTCTGTGCTCAGTGTTAATGGTGATTAAGCAACCGCAGCATTAGTGGCTGGTGAAGAGCAAGGTAACTAAGGACCTAGATCTCCAGGAGATGAAAGTCTGGGTCACTGCATCAGTCAAGCAACCAGCTGAAATACTGGCTTAGGATGAGTTGAAGGAAAGGATAAATAATATCAATTATTGCCTTGGATTCAGCTGTAATACAGGGATTATCACTTATTCTGCCAATCTTTTGTATTGAAACTTTGCAGAGATTGAAGATGACTTTATGACAGATTAGACTTGAGAGAAGACATGAGCAAGTCTCAGTTCTGCAAGGGGTGGGCTGTATCAGACACTTCTTGTATACTAATTTATATCCTTTTGGCCCCACCTCTTACTGCAGCCACTGCTGTGGTAACCAATGTCTCCTAGGTTTTGATTAGCTAATCACAGATACAGCATCTGCCCTGTTCCTCTTGCTTCTTGCCCTGAGGGTTTCATTGATACTGCAGAGCAGGGTTAGTCTCAGAAATTGATGTGGCCTCATGCATGCATATGCCAAAAATCTGGTAAAGTCAATGCCCTTGGAGTCACTCGAACAAAGGGGATGAGAATCAGTTTCATCCATGTGTACTCCTGGGCAGAAAGATCTGCGATGTGTTTCAGAGGTTTCCTCAGGGAGCTGCCCTGGGACTGAAAACCTGACTCAACTGACCACAGTCAACTTGACAATGCACTGTTGTATTGGCTTTTCTCCTTTCCCTGTACACTGGCTTCACCCAAGCTCCAAGGGGTCACACAAATCATATTGAGTATTTAACTGTAATAAAGCATTTGTCCTAGGCTAAGAAATTATGATGCACAAGTACATATCTACTTTTTTTAATCCTCAAAAGATGGTGTTACAATAACTAAGTAAACGGTCTTAGTTGTGGGCATGTCCCTTGATGTTCACTTTTCCAGAAGATTGTTCTATACTCAGCACTCATCTAGCATAGAGTAGGCACTTGATAAACAGCTTTTAATGAATTAATATATAAGTAATATAAACTGTTATTAAACAGTAAGTAACTTCACTCTATCTGAATAAAATTATTAATAGTTCCATTTTCTTTTTTTCCTGCTGATCTTTACCATACCAACATGATAATGTGTACATAAATATGCAATTGCACACATTGACAGAATTTTACAGTAGTGTTCTTTAATGAATCATACCTCCTCTCATCTGTGCTCTTGTCAGGGCCCTCCCACCATGATTCTGGGTCTGATCATATGGCTTGTTTTGATTAAAGAGACATTAGCAAATGTGATTTGATTAGTCTGTTCTCATGATGTTAATAAAGATATACCTGAGACTGGGTAATTTATAAAAGAAGGAGGTTTAATTGACTCACTGTTCCACATGGCTGGGGAGGCTTCACAATCATGGCGGAAGGTGAAAGTCACATCTTACATGGCGGCAGGCAAGAGAGAATGAGACCCAAGTGAAAGGGGAAACCCCTTATAAAACCATCAGATCTTGGAGACTTATTCACTACCACGAGAATAGTATAGGGGAAATTGTCTCCCATGATTCAATTATTTCCCACTGGGTCCCTCTACAACACGTGGGAATTATGGGAGCTACAATTTAAGGTGAGATTTGGGTGGGGACACAGTCAAATCATATCAGTGATGCAACCTTAGGTTTTAAAAGTTGCTTTTCAAACCTATGTGAAGAAAGCTGGGCTGGCTTGCTGGCAGCATATGGCCCAGCTGAGGAACAGACTAACCATCAGACTTGTGTGGAAGGACATGGACATCACAGACTGCCCAGCCCCAGGCAAGCTGTCATTTGACTACAGCTGCATGAATTACCCTATGGAAGACTAGCAAAGAATTATTCAGAAGAGCCTATCTCAGACTGATAACCTATTCGAATCATGGGTAAATAAAGTGATTGTTGTTTTAAGCACTTAATTTTTAGGGAGGCTTGTTAGATTGCAATAGATAACTAACACAGACAACTCACATACACACAGTTGTGTTGGCTTACATTTTTTTTCTAAAATGGTATCATACTAACCAAATTTACTCAATTATTGCCCACTGAAGGTTTTCACTTTGTGTCTAGTTTTTGCTACTACCAAAATGCTGAAAGTAAACATCACTAAAGTTCTGGTTTCAGTAGACAAATTTCTGAGTGAGGAGTTAGGGCTTGTATTGTTGAGCACAAAAGGCATCGTGCCCAGGGCCCACAAGATGTTAGGGATTCAGGGAATATTTTTATCTTAAAAATTTAAGAAAAAGTAAATCCAGTAATAATAAATTCAGTTTGACTTATATTCCTCTTTACACCAACACAATCATAAAATATATTTTCTGTCTGTATATGTATACATACATATATATGTCTATGAGTACGTGTATGTGTGTGTGTGTATTATCAGTTCATTCTCATGCTGCTAATAAAGACAAACTCGAGACTGAGTAATTTATAAAGGAAAGAGGTTTAATGGACTCACAGTTCCACATGGCTAGGGAGGCTCACAATCATGGGGAAAGATAAAGGAAGAGCAAAGAGACATCTTACATGGTGGCAGGCAAGAGAGAATGAGAGCCAAGCAAAACCGGACACCCCTTATAAAACCATCAGATCTCGTGAGACTTATTCACTACCACGAGAACAGTATGGGGGAACTGCCCCCATGATTCAATTGTCTCCCACCAGGTCCCTCCCACAACACATGGGAATTATGGGAGTTACAATTCAAGATGAGATTTGGGTGGGCACACAGCCAAATCTTATCACATATATATATAATATTAATAGAGAAAGAAGACAACACAGGCACAAGTTTCTAGGGCCCATGAAAGTCATGCTGTGGCCCTGGAAAGAGGACTTGCATTTTTTTTTTATTGGAATAGATATTTCAAAATTGTTTTCTGAAAGCCTATAACAATTTTCATTTTTGCCAGAAATAAATGAAAGTACCCTTTTAACTCATCCCCACCAACAGTAGTTATTATCACTTTTAATTTTTTGCCACTCTGATGGATGTGAAGTGAGAGCTTCATTGCTACTTAATTTGCATTTCTCTCATTACCAGGAGCCTGAAATTTTTTTTTGGAAGTCTGGGGCCATTGAAATGTGCTCTTCTGTGGGCTTCTGAGTCATCATTCTTTGCATAATTTATATTTCTAAGAGCAGTTTGTATGTGCCATAACTGTTGCAAACATAATTTGCCAATTTAGTATGTGGAGAACAACATTATATGTTGTACATTTACACACAAAAGTTTCAGATTTTTACAGATCTCTGATGGCTTTGGTAATAGGTTACCTCAAAGCCTCATTTGTACATGTAGTCTTCTGTATTTTCTTCCAGTTTGGAAACACTTATATTTAAAGATTTAATCCCTCTAGAATAAATATTCCATGACATGAAGAATATTTATAAATTGTTTTGTTTAAAACAGGTAGCTTTGTGTTTAAAACTAATAAATAATAACAATTGTTTGCTATCATAAACCTACAGAAAAGATATGGTGAATTGAACATAGAATGGGAAGACAAGAGGTTACTTAGCCTCTCTGAAATTAGTTTCCATTATAAAAAGAGGGAATTGAGTTAAATCATGGGTTTTCAAATGGAGCGTATGGAATCCTGAGGCTCGCCATGGTTCTTTGGAGATTTACAGAAATGAGAGATGGATATACCCAAACAGTGAGGGTTAAGCTTCATATAAATTCTGTCAATTACTGGCTTATTACATGCATCAAGATCACGCCTATGGTTTTATTTGAGGGGGTAGAAGTGCTTGGGAATAAAACATAAAAACTCTGAATTAGATAATCTTCATGTCCTTATTATAGAGTTGTTCAGAATAAGAATGAGAATGCAAAACAGAACAAACAAAGGAAAGTAGGAAAAAACTTTCACATTAATCTTCATAGAAATAGTATAAGGTAGGTGTCATTTTTGGGAGCAGGCCCCTCAAAATCTGGCCATAAACTGGCCCCAAAACTGGCCATAAATAAAATCTCTGCAGCACTGTAACATGTTCATAATGGCCCTAACACCCATGCTGGAAGGTTGTGGGTTTACCAGAATGAAGGCAAGGAACACTTAGCCCGCCCAGGGCAGAAAACCGCTTAAAGGCATTCTTAAGTCACAAACAATAGCATGAGCTATCTGTGCCTTAAGGATAAGTTCCTGCTGCAGTTAACTAGCCCATCCTATTCCTTTAATTCAACCCATCCCTTTGTTTCCCATGAGGGATACTTTTAGTTAATTTAATATCTATAGAAACAATGCTAATGACTGGTTTGCTGTTAATAAATATGTGGGTAAATCCCTGTTCGGGGCTCTCAGCTCTGAAGGCTGTGAGACCCCTGATTTCCCACTTCACACCTCTATATTTCTGTGTGTGTGTCTTTAATTCCTCTAGCACTGCTGGGTTAGGGTCTCCCCAGCTGAGCTGGTCTCAGCATATCATTATCCCCAAAGGAAAATCTAGGTTTTCTGGAGCTTGAATTTAATGTCATTTTGGAATCTCTCTTTAAGAAAAGATTGAAATATTTAAATACAAATACATATGTAGGTCTGAACATGGGCACTGGGAGTGCACTTGAAAATTATTCCTACACTAGATGCCTAGCAATATGTGACAATATAGAGAAATAACTTCAGAGCACATAAATATTGTCACTAAACACAAATTTATGGATCTCAACTTTCCCTTAGCATGACACCAAACCTGTTCAAGGTTTCTCCAAAGATCTTCACCATGTGATGGAAGAAAGTCATACTGAAAGAGACAGAGCTCTTAGCTAGTCACAGTTAAGGTATCTTAACATTGTAAACTTAACATAAGCATATGACTATGTGAACATATATGCCCTACACAAATAAAAGGCCCTGAAGCTTAAGTCCCAATAGCTTCTCAGTTAACTTCCTCCGATTATTCCCAGCTTGCAAATAAAGATGCTAAGTCTCAGGGAGATTTAGTAATTTGCCAAAGTCACACAGCTAGTCCGTAAATGAAGTCTTGGATTTCAACAGGTGCTCTGCCTGCCCAGGTGATGTCACTTCTGCTGTCCAGTACAAACTCTTACTTTCTTATTTGCTTTTTTTTTGGAGCTTTTTTTTTTTTACCACTGAACAATCCAAATGTCTCCCTGAACAAATTCTTCATTTAAAAAAGAAGAAAGGAAAAGGATATCACTTTAAATGGTGAAGTGTGTGGTAGGTGAGGAGGCACTTACATGATAAGTGGAGAGTTTAGTTAATTAGATTATTATAGCATTGGACTGTAGCCACTGTGTCCGGCAACTCTAATTAGACATCAATGCTGCAATAAGCCTATTTTGAAAATTAAGATATAATTGGAAAAACACGTGATAGTCATCTTCTCACCCTTAGAATTTCAAAGCACATATGGACCTGAACTACCTGAAATTCTGAAAAAGCTTCATAAGGAGATGATGTGCCACTGGCTCTCATTTATAGGCATGTCTGTTATCTGGGCCAAAACTGTATATCCTGCTTGCATTTTTTATTACCCAAAAAGTTGCTCGATGATTTCACCTAAATCGCTAATGATTAAGTGGGGCACATATATAAACTATCCAGCATTGCTCCATTTCTTTTCCCTTAGTGAACACGGAAAGATCAAACTCATTTTAATCATTAAACATAATATGAGAAGGTTAAAAATGCTCTTTTAAATAGTTCTATGCATTCCATGATCAAATAGAAATATATTGAGTGTAACCAAAGTTTTGAATAATTCATGACCTGCTCAACCTTACCTTACAGGGTACGATTTAAAATTGACCACATTGATTTTATTGCCCAGTATACAGTGAGATCTCATTTATCTGACATCATTTGGGAGCGAGTTGTTCATAGAACCACAGAATTTTAGAATTTGAGAAGACCTCGGAGAGCATGTGATCTATCTCCCTCACTGTAACTACTTATATTACGACAACAACAACAACAGCTGTTTGAGCTCTTCCTATGTGTCATATTCTATGCTGAGTGTTTTGTAAGTGTTGTGCCTTCTGTTTGTCACAGTAATCCTATGAGGAAGGTATTATTCTTTCCATTTTCAAAGGAGGAAAGTGAGGCTTAGAGCAATTAAAGTAACAGAAGGCTATGGAGCTTGAAAGTAATGGAATAGAATGAGATTTGAGCCTATAGCCCCTGTTCCTAGCCACTGCATTATACTAAGAGTCAAAGATATCATATGGCTTACTCACTCAAAGTCACTCACTAATTTAGTGTCAATTACCAGACCAGAATTTGGGTGTTCTAACTGTTACCATCTTCCCCCTATATCGTATACATTTTTAAAAGAAGTAGATGTTAAACATAAATGGAGTTTTCCTTGCTATAAGCACTAAAACTCATTTTATTTTAAGTATCTTTAGTGGAAATCATTCTAAGTTATTGCAGTTTTCTGCCTCCTTCATCATATTACATTAAATATAATTGCTATTTCTTGCTGACTCAGGTTTCAAAATTACCTACATCAATCACTGGATTACGCTGCACCAATCTGACACCTTTACCAAATGATCTCAGAAAATTTTGTTTCATTAACTTGTTTCTTTTTTTTTTGAGACAGAGTCTTGCTCTGTCACCAGGCTGGATTGCAGTGGCACCATCTCGGCTCATTGCGACCTCCAACTCCCCGGTTCAAGCGATTCTTTTGCCTCAGCCTGCCAAGTAGCTGGGATTACAGGCACGTGCCACCATGCCCAGCTTATTTTTACATTTTTAGTAGAGATGGAGTTTCACCATGTTGGCCAGGATGCTCTCGATCTCCTGACCTTGTGATCTGCCCTCCTTGTTTCCCTTTTTATAAGTAGTGAATCCTTGCAATATATTGTTACTGGAGATGTCATGTTGCATTGTGCAAATTCTAATTGCTCTTCTTGTATCCTAATGCACAGAAATATAACTTACTCTTTATATCTGTCATAGGTTAGGAAACAATATAGGCAGACTTGTTTAAATTGGGAGTTTGAATAACTAAACAGAACAAATGTGACCTCTGGGTTAGAGGTGACTTTCTTTGGAGGTATTAAGCTGCATTCTGAAAAATGAAGTGGAGGCAGACAGAAGAGTCCAGGGGAAGTGCTGTGAAAGTAGAAGGAAAGAGATGTGTAAAGGATGGAGGTAAGAGTGTGATGTTCTGGGGGGTCTGGAGTGACACTCAGAGTGACTGGAGTCCAGATTTCAAGAGGAGCAAGTAGGAGCTGATGAGACTGCAGACAATCAGGGACCAGGTCTTCAAAGAACTGATGCTTTAACTGAAGGACTTTGATTAAGTCTCAAAGTAATGCAGAACATTTGAAGGAGTGTAAAGAAGCAGAATGAGATGATCAAATTTTATTACTAATTTCCTTTGTCTGGTATCAGCCTAGACATGAGAGAGTTAACAGTGGAATCAGGAATAGCAATTATAGAGAGGATCAAATTTTATTACGAATTTCCTTTGGCTGGTATGAGCCTGGACATGAGAGAGTTAACAGTAGAGTCAGAAAGAGCAGTTATAAAGCCATCACATGGTCTTGAAATACGATCCTCTCAGTAGAAGTCAGTATCCTCATTTCTGTAATAACAAAGAAAGAATGAACAATTCCTAAAAATGCTTCCAGCTCTAAAATTCTGTATTCCCTGATTCTTTGGGTTGTGATTATTCCTGACACCATGGTCCATAGTATGCAAAGAAATAAAAGTTTTTGACTTGGTGTAGGGATCTCAGTCTCTACTTGATTACACCTGGGAGTTGATAGTGTCACTACATTGGCATCTGACATTTATTTTCCTGGTCTGAACAAATGTAAAGGTTTGTGATGATGGGGTAAAAACACAACACAATTCAGCTTTCAAGAATCTCAATTTGTTTAGTAGTCCAGTAATATTCTCAGACTATCCTAGTGGCTTCTCCAGAAGGTACTAGTGAGTGGATAGCGTCACTGTCTAAGTGCCTGGACTTTGAAGCCAAAATAGTTTGGCTCTGGATGACTCTTCTGTTTATGAGCTTTGGAAGTATCAGCACATCACTTAACCTTTAGTGTCCCAGTTCCATTATCTGTAGAAGGGGAATAGCACTATAATGTATCTCATAGAGTTTTGTGAGGAATGAACATTTAGAGAGTCTTGTACTTATTGAGTGCTGTGTAAGTACCAGGTCTCATTATGCTAGCTATTATCTTCCCAAGGACCATTACTCTGGAAATGAAAGAGATATGGAGAATACTAAAGATAAATGGGAATTTAGCTCACATTTTTGATATATGTATATATATGTGTGTATATATATATTCTTTTGAAATAAGAACCTATTGGCTTATTAATTCAGACCTAACTTATGAACATTCTAAAATCAGAACTGTCTAGATAACCTAAAAACAACATTAAGCCCAAAGCTGGCATCATTCAGCCCCTGTATAAGCTGTTATATTAAGAGACACCTCACTATCTTGGAATAAACAGAGTTTCAAAGAGTACTGACGGTTCAAAAATTTTTTTCTTACATTGAGCTGAAAACACACTCCCTGGAGCATCTTACTAGGGGTCCTAATGCTTTTCTCCCTTAACAATAAGCCTTTAATTGATGAAACTAAGTAGAGAAAAAAAGTTAAAATACTCAGGAAAAAAAACTGGCATAAACATGATATCAGGCCTTTTAGTTGAGGATTATTGAATTTGTTTTTATTGTGTTCCCTGGGAAACATCCAAACTACAGGTGGCTCTATGAAAATTTCAAAGATAGGAGGGATTTTTTTTTATATATATAATCTCACTCTGTTTCCCAGGCTGGAGTACAGTGGCATGATCACAGCTCATTGCAGCCTTGACCTCCTGGGCTCAAGCGATCCTCCTGCCTCAGCCTCCCGAGTAGTTGGGACTATAGATGCGTGCCACCTCATGGGCTAAGTTTTTATTTTTTTGTAGAAGGGGGTCTCACTATGTTTCCCAGACTGGTCTTGAACTCCTGGCTTCAAGTGATCCTTCCTCCTTGGCCTTCCAAAGAGTTGGAATTACAGGCGTGAGTCACTGCACTTGGCCTAATGTGTTTTTTGTTGTTGTTTGTTTTACTAATTGTTTAACAGGGCTACTATCACTCTAGGAGACAGTTGGAAATAGTATTAAAAAGATGTACCCTTCAAATAATTGTCTGCAATAGAAGAAATTTTCATTCACCAACAACCACATTTGATTCAACATTCTTAAAAGATTGCTTGATTTTTTGGCCACCTTGACTTAGATTTTCTTATACCGATGAACGTTTAGTTTCTTCTGTCTTAAATTTGACTTGCATCACTGTGAGGAGTAAGTTTATTAAAAAGCTTCATGGAGTTCATGAAAACATTTGTTCAGAAGGTTAGAATCAAACAGTCACCACTAACTCAGCTTCCTGGGAGATTTTTAGTGGTCTGTAAATAAATGTTTTTTCAAATTCACATCAGAAGAAATAAAATAAATAGAGATAATATATTCAAGGAATCTTTAGTTAACATCCAGCATGTGCTACATGCATTTTTAGGTACTATAAGGAAAAATGCACAAAACTTAAAAATAGCCCTTTTTGTCAGCACATTTTACATAGATCCATTTTCAGAGTCAAAATATAAACACCTGAATCAGTACAAACCTTTATAACATGGATTTCTGGACCCTTGTTATATGAAGGCATATGATAAAAGATGTGCGTTTCTTTGAAAATGGTTAGATTTTTCATTTTAATTTTTAATGGGCTGAAAAGTCCACATGATCTAGATTATCACCCTGTAATTAAGTCACGCTTATATTGTGTTAGCATTGGAGATTTCTTTAGTAAGAAGCTACAACTTTTTTTTTTTAAGGTTCTTTAAGAAAAAATGACAGAGATGGCCTTTGTAGGTAAGTAAGGCCCCACTATTACATATTGCATTTGATAGTAGCCAATACCACATTTACATTGAGAATAGGTACTTTACTTTAGCAAAATATTACATGTCACATTAAATTAATGTTGATCATTTGGAATGAATGAATTTTGTTATTCAGTTTGAATATAATTTTTAAGTTTGTTTTCTTTTACGATTATATAAGAGTTCCAAGCATACAGATTTATTCATAGCTTTATGATTATGAATGCTTAATAATCAAAATAATTTAATTTACCACTGTGTATTTGCATTTTTAAAAATGTACTTATTTGAAAAACATTAGGAAAGAGTGTGAAAGTCTGAGACTACCTATTAGAAAGGTTATAACTGTGTTACTCACATTGTATTTAATGCTAGACTAAAAGACCAGCATGGTTCTTTCCACATTTGGGAATCTGTAACGTGCTAAAGTGTATTGTGAAAGATTAGACAAAGGAGGTATCACTGTGGTCTGGGTGTTGAATGGAATAGAGCAGGCAGGAAACTGGTTGAATCTTAATAAAAGGGTCAGATTTAGAAAGATAGGGAAGAGAAGACAGAGGAGTGTCCATTCTTAGATGTGTGGACAGAGAACTGGGATTTTTATGTGACTTTAGAAGAGGTGGCGTGGTGAGAGGGGAGGCTTTACGGCCAGGCATAGGTTAAACACATTATTTGAAGCTATGTTCAAGGCCTGGGAGGTAGCATCAGGCAGTATGAGCAGTTGCGGGTCTTGAAAAAGAAAGTGATTGCATCAAGCAGCTATTGAAAAATTTTAGTCTGATGGCAGAGAGGGAGGTACATTAGGAAGTCAGAGAACGCTGCGTGTTAGCACTGCTCTCACCACCTTGAAATGTACTGAGCCCTCTCCAGGACTCCTCTCCCTCCCACTGAAGTAGATGTCCAAAGATTTCGGACACATACACCATGGACAGATATTTCCCCTCACTCGCAAAAACTCAAGTGGCACCAGCATTTTGGAGACAGAAGTCCCAGTGGGCACAAGGCAGCTGGGGTCTGGGGCTTGACTCCTCTCTGTCCCTTTGGTGTCCCCCAAAACTGTTGGAAGGGAGTGAGCACGAGGACCAGGAAGTTCTTGTTTGTTTTTCTTCATGAAATTTATCACAGCCAGAAATGATATTTACTTTTCTTTTTCTCTCCAACTAAAAAGTAAGTTTCAAGAGGGCAGGGACTTTATCTGTACCTACTCACTGGCACATTCGCAGCACCCTGTGCGTGATAGATGCTCAATAAATATTTGTTGAATGAGTAAATGAATGAAAATATATTTGAATTTATACAGATGAAGAGTAATTGGAGAGGAGTTTCAAAGGAGGAATTGATTTTAAAATGCTGGGAAAAGAAACATGTTAAATTTCAGACTCATTTGGTAAACTCTGTGGATGCAATAATTTTAAAAGTTGTCTTGGGTAGCTTAGTTCCTGCCACGGTGAGTCATGTAAGTGCTCAGAGCTTCAGAGATTTGTTTCTTCCCCTACTGGGGTGAGTATGTGTGGATTTCTCTCCTCTTCCTGTCTGGTTCTAACCTCCTTGTTGGGAAATGCTATATGATCAAGGATACCAGGACTGCCTCTTGATATATTAAATGGGAATATAAAGGAATTTAGTAAATCCCTATTTCCTGGCAACGCCTGTCTTTTACGTCTGTTCCAGTACATTGCTGCAGACTAGGAAAGCCTATTTTTGCTGACAGAGGGTGAATATTAAACTGTTTTTACTGCTGTATTTGCATTCTTATTGTGACCTTCGCGGTCCTCGCCTCCTCCCCATCTTCCACTCACAGATGGAAGCTTGGCCTGAGTGGGGAGAAAGTCCTACACAGAGACACCGAGGAGCCAGGCAAATGGAGATATTTCCAAAACATTTATCTCCATTACACATTCATCAGATTAGAACTTTGGAGGAAGAAAAAGCCATTTATTCATCCAAAAGCAAGAACCCGGGAAGAATCTGAATATCATTTAATGGCAGCCATCTTAGATTTTAGGAAGTTTTCATTCTCCAACTAGAAATCTTTTTCCACTGTCATATTTAATTTCCACCTTTTAACTAGTTGATTTTGACACAGCTGGTGGCCACCTTTTTATTTATTTATTTATTTATTTTTATTTTTCTGAGACAGAGTCTCACTCTTTCGCTCAGGCTGCAGTGCAGTGGCGCGATCTTGACTCACTGCAAGCTCCGCCTCCTGGGTTCAAGCAATTCTCCTGCCTCAGCCTCCTGAGTAGCTGGGATTACAGGGGCCCGCCATCAGGCCCAGATAATTTTGTATTTTTAGTAGAGACGGGGTTTCACCATGTTGTCCAGGCTGGTCTCAAACTCCTGACCTCAGGTGATCCATCCGCCTCGGCCTCTCAAAGTGCTGGGATTATAGGCATGAACCACCGCGCCCGGCCTTGGCCACCTATTGTTATCAGATGTTTGTCAAGCTGTATTTCAATATTTAATAACCCCCTGGATAATGCCACACATTGGGGTAGGGCGTGGGTAGGCGGGAAGGGGCACCAAAATGGCAGGGAAGAGTCAGGCCCCAGACCCCAGCTTCCTTGCGCCCACTGAGACTTCTGTCTCCAAACTGCTGGTGCCACTTGAATTTCTGCAAGTGAGGGGAAATACTTGTCCATAGTGTATATATCTGAAGTCTTTGGATATCTACTTCAGTGTAAGGGCGAGAAGTCAGGGAGAGGCATTTGATAAATTTCAACGAGTGGATAGAAATGCTAAGCTCTTATCACAATCCTGCTTCATCTTGATTGTGAGAATCAAAGGAAATTATCACTTGTTTTTATTGCCCATTGAAATTTTGATTCCTAGTTCTTTCTCCACCCGAAGGCCACTTTAAACTTTAAAAGTCCCATCTTTGAAATAAAGATTTATTTTTTATGAAATTCATGGGTTTTGCATACCTGCAAAAGACTCAAGTTTTAGTAATTTTCTTGGGAACCGTCCAAGGTGTCAGTCACTTTACGAAACCATCAATCTGAAAGTCCCCTTGGCATTCAGAATCATATGATTGCCCTATCCTGTTCCGTGTAAGGGTACTACTGGCTTATTCTTCTGTATCCTAAGGAGGCCTGGGCAGAGGAAATTGAGCTCTAACTTGTTAAGAAATATAATTCTAAGTGGCACTGGGACCATACAAACTGATTTAAATAAACATTTTCATTAATATTCAGTCTTAGAGGGCTATATCAAGGTTTCTCAACCTCAGCACCACTGACGTTTTGGGCTGGAAAATTCTTTGCCAGGGGCTCTGCAGTGCTTTGTAGGATGTTCACCAGCGTTACTGGCCTCTCCCATTAGATACCATAGCAACCCCAACCAAATGGGACAATCACAAATGTCTCTAGGCATTGCCAAATGTCACCTGGGGGTCAAAATCACTCCAGGTTGAAAACTACTGGCTTACACAATGCCCCAAAATCAGGTTGAGCCTCCATGTTGATAGAGAATTGCGTAAATTCTAAAAGCCAGAAAGTTAAAGGCAATACTGATCTCTTTAAACCACAGAATAGCTTGCTAACTGAATAGTGGTATTATTAAGCTCTCTCAGTCTCTGATTCTTTATCTGTAAAGGATGTTAAGAATGAAACGGTTTAATACTAGTTCTAATGGTTTCACTTATTGATAGTTCACATTTATTACATGCTTAATGTGTCTTCAATTTTAACTGTTGCTAGTACAACTGAAGCCAGTATATGATTGTGAGTATAGTTAAAACTATTCTTACCAATGCCCTGTTGGTCTGCTATCACTGAGGCAATGAAGTAAAAAGTAAGGTGCTTTTTTTTTTTTTGAGATGGGATCTCCTGGGCTCAAGTGATCCTCTTGCCTCAGCCTCCTGAGTAGCTGGGATTACACATATGAGCCATTGTGCCTGGCTCCAAGTAAGTATTTTTTTTTTTTTAAATAAAGCTTATTTTTTTAAGCATGAAGCTTAAAAATGTTACCTGCATTTTGACCTGTCAGCTGACTTTAAAAGATTCAATTTTATAAATATAGGTATTTAACTTTTCTTTTATTTCTGTATCACTAAAGAGTATACACAATAAGTACTTGTCCCTTGAGCTCTTTCTTCCTACTCATTTTCAGTAAGTTTATGGAAATCAGTTCTGGGAAGAGTTCACCCAAAGGTTTCATATTTATGAGGTTTAGAAAAGGTAGAGACTTATGTAAACATAATCAGGTCATCAAAAATTCACAACCTTCTGTAATATTTGATTGTTAATAGAAATTTTGTCCTAGGCATGAATAAACATTATCTTTGAATTTGCAGTTAGAATAAAGTCTTTTATGATAACTTTTAGTTTTTTCTAAGATCAAAATAAAACAAAACAACATCCCCAAACAGAAACTGAATTCCAGCTATAGCTTTGTCATTATAATCTATGTGTTCTCTTACACATCATCTGAATTCTTTCAGTCTACATTTACTCATCAGTAAAACAGAGGTGATAGATTTTTTCTCCCAGAGTTCTTATGAGAAATAAATGGGGCAGTATATGAGTAACTACTTCAGGAATCATATTATTTAATACAAAAGTAAGATATTGATATGGTTTGGCTGTGTCCCTGCCCAAATCTCAACTTGAGTTGTATCTCCCAGAATTCCCACATGTTGTGGGAGGAACTCAGGGGGAGGTAATTGAATCATGGGGGCTGGTCTTTCCCACTCTATTCTTGTGATAGTAAATAAGTCTCATGAGATCTGATGGGTTTATCAGGGGTTTCTGCTTTTACTTCTTCCTCATTTTCTCTTGCTGCTGCCACGTAAGAAGTGTCTTTCACCTTCCACCATGATTCTGAGGCCTCCTCAGTCATGTGAAACTGTAAGTCCAATTAAACTTCCTTTTTCTTCCCAGTGTCAGGTATGTCTTCATCAGCAGCATGAAAACAGACTAATACAGTAAATTGGTAGCAGTAGAGTGGGGCGCTGCTGAAAAGATACCCGAAAATGTGTGAAGCAACTTTGGAACTGGGTAACAGGCAGAGGCTGGAACAGTTTGGAGGGCTGAGAAGATCAGAAAATGTGGGAAAGTTTGGAACCTCCTAGAGACTTGTTGAATGGCTTTGTCCAAAATGCTGATAGTGACATGAACAATAAAATCCAGGCTGAGGTGGTCTCAGATGGAGATGAGGAAATTATTGGGAACAGGATCAAAGGTAAGTTTTGTTATGTTTAGCAAAGAGACTGGTGGCATTTTGCCCCTGCCCTAGAGATGTGTGGAACTTTGAACTTGAGAGAGTTGATTTACGGCATCTGGCGGAATAAATTTCTAAGCAGCAAAACATTCAAGAGGTAACTTAGGTACTGTTAAAGGCATTCAGTTTTAGAAAGGAAGCAGAGTATAAAGGTTTGGAAAATTTGCAGCCTGACTATGTGATAGAAAAGAAAAACCTGGCCGGGCATGGTGGCTCATGCCTGTAATCCCAGCACTTTGGGAGGCCGAGGCGGGCAGATCACAAGGTCAGGAGATCGAGACCATCCTGGCTAACATGGTGAAACCCTGTCTCTACTAAAAATACAAAAAAATTAGTCGGACATGGTGGCAGGCACCTGTAGTCCCAGCTACTCGGGAGGCTGAGGCAGGAGAATGGCGTGAACCCAGGAGTTGAAGCTTGCAGTGAGCTGAGATCACACCACTGCATTCCAGCCTGGGTGACAGAGTGAGACTTTGTCTCGGAAAAAAAAAAAAAAAAGAAAAGAAAAACCCATTTTCTGGGGAGAAATTCAAGCCGGCTGCAGAAATTTGCATAACCAGCAAGGAGCCTAATGTTATCCCCAAGACCATGGGGAAAATGTCTCCAGGTCATGTCAAAGACCTTCACAGCAGCCCCTCCCATCACAGGCCTGGAGGCCCATGAGGAAAAAGTGGTTTCATGGGCCAGGCCCAGGTTCCCCGTGCTACGTGCAGCCTAGGGACTTGGTGTCCTGTGTACCAGCCTCTCCAGCCATGGCTGAAAGGGGCCAATGTACAGCTTGGGCTGTGGTTTCAGAGGGTGTAAGCCCTAAGCCTTGGTAGATTCCATGTGGTGTTGAGCCTGCAGGTACACAGAAGTCAGGAATTGAGGTTTGGGAACCTCTGCCTAGATTTCAGAGGATGTATGGAAGCGCCTAGATGCTAAGGCAGAAATTTGCTGCAGGGATGGGGCCCTCATGGAGAACCTCTGCTAGGGCAGTGAGGAAGGGAAATGTGGGGTTGGAGTCCCCACACAGAGTCCTAACTGGGGCACTGCCTAGTGGAGCTGTAAGAAGAGGGCCACCATCCTCCAGACCCCAAAATGTTAGATCCACTGACAGCTTGCACCTTGAACTTGGAAAAGCCACAGACACTCAACTCCAGCCCATGAAACATCTGGGAAGGAGGCTGTACCCTGTAAAGCCATAGGGGAGGAGTTGCCCAAGACCATGGGAACCCACCCCTTGCATCAGCGTGACCTGGATGTCAGATCTGGGGTCAAAGGAGATCATTTTGGAGCTTTAAAATTTGACTGCCCCACTGGATTTCAGACTTGCATGGTCCCTGTAGCTCCTTTGTTTCGGCCAATTTCTCCCCTTTGGAACCGCTGTATTTGTCCAAAACCTGTAATCCTATTGTATCTAGAAAGCAACTAGCTTGCTTTTGATTTTACAGGCTCATAGGTGGAAAGGACTTGCCTTGTCTCAGATGAGACTTTGGACTGTGGACTTTTGAGTTAATGTCGAAATGAGTTAAGACTTTGGGGGACTATTGGGAAGGCATGATTGGTTTTGAAATGTGAGGACATGAGATTTGGAGGAGTCAGTGGCGGAATGATATGGTTTGACTGTGTCCTCACCCAAATCTCAACTTGAATTGTATCTCCCAGAATTCCCATGTGTTGTAGGAGGGACTGAGGGGGAGGTAACTGAATCCAGGGTGCCAGTCTTTCCTGTGCTATTTTTGTGGTAGTCAATAAGTCTCATGAGATCTAATGGGTCTATTAGGGGTTTCTGCTTTTGCTTCTTCTTCATTTTTTCTTGCCACTGCCATGTAAGAAATGCCTTTCAGCTGGGTGCGGTGGCTCACCCCTGTAATCCCAGCACTTTGGGAGCCTGAGGCAGGCAGATCACAAGGTCAGAAGTTCGAGACCAGCCTGGCCAACACAGTGAAACCCCATCTCCACTAAAAATACAAAAATTAGCCAGGCACGGAGGCACACGCCTATAGTCCCAGCTACTTGGAAGGCTGATGAATCACTTGAACCCAGGAGGTGGAGGTTGTGGTGAGCTGAGATCGTGCCACTGCACTCCAGCCTGGGCAGCAAAGCAAGACTCTGTCTCAAAAAAAAAAAAAAAAAGTGCCTTTTGCCTTCCACCATGATTCTGAGGCCTCCTCACACATGTGGAACTATAAGTCCAATTAAACTTCTTTTTCTTAGCAGTCTCAGGTATGTCCTTATCAGCAGTGTGAAAACAGACTAATACAGATGTTATTTTTGTCATTGCCACTACTGTCATCACAATCCCCACGATTATTGATAATACACTGAATATTCAAAATAACATTCTGGACCTTTCTTGAATAAATAAACACTAATAGCCAGAGAGATAGTTAAACTTTTATTAGATTGGGACCTTATCACACCTGGTGGAGTCCTGTGATTTCCTGGCCTTTGGAATAAATTTTTCATGTTTAAAAACATAATGGAACATTATGGAAATAGTCAGAAAAAAATCTTTTTATCCGGCTCTGTTGATAGCGATAAATGCATATCCCCTTTGAAATCTCTAATGATAAAATTGCCTATGCACTAAAGGTTTATTTTCTGGAAACCTGTAGTCCTAACACATGAAAAATATACAAACATACTTTGCTTTTATTTTATTAAGCCTCAACGTCCTTGATTCCCTGGCCTCTGCTTTGAAAGAAGTTGGTAACATCACCATAATAGTTTGACTTCATAAACAAACAAACAAACAAGAAAATAGAAACCAAAAAAAAAACAGCATTGTTACTTTGCTCTGGAAATAGGCTGTGAAATAATTCTCAAAAAGCCACAGTGTTATGTTGTAGCCTCATGATCATAGCCAGGAGGATGAAGCCCTTGTTTCTACTGTCAGGCGCTTCTACAGAGAGAGTGGCACAGTGCCTATAATATAGTAATATCAATAAATGAATGAATAATGGAAGGAATGAGAAAAGGAAGATTGGTTTTTATCTTTTTATGGTGGAGTTCACTTTCAAAAGCCAAAATGAATCACCAGAACAGGTATAAATATTAAATATATTTGCTAATCTTTATTTGCATTGGGAAAGAGAAAGCTGACTTTCTCACTGAGACCCATGGTATAAAAACAATCCAAATTGTCCAGTGTCATTTTTCATGATATGGTGCTGTTAAACTCAGAATCTACAAGCTCTCAAGGGTATAATGTAGATAGATGGTGCTGATATGCTCACATATTTTCTGTGCCATTTGATTCTAAAATGGACATGTATCGTTTCCATTTTATGATTAGCATAACTTTTTTACACATTATTCCACTTGCCATGATTAAAGATGGTTTCATCCCCATGGTCTGGCTCTTTTCTTGTTTATCTAATGGTTGCCCAGTGGCTACTGTACTGTATATGTTCTGAGCTCATCTACTGTGTGTCATTTTAAAAAATCACAAAAGATATTACTTACTTCCTGCTTACCTCTGCATTTGGCTATTTGATAGAATACTAGCTTGTTCGGATTGGTATTATAACAGATTTACATATAGAATCAACTCCTGGGCTCTCCTCCGATGCCTGTTCTTCTGGGCATTACACATCCTACTTCCACTGTTCCCTCTCATGTGTGGGCCAACCTAGCTCCCTTGACCAGGAATATAAAATTGTTACCAGAAGAGAGAGGCCATTTGTCTTATGATTAAACCAGGAACATGTAAGATGTACAAGAAAAACAGAAAAAGCTAGTCTGTGTGTGAGCACACATGCGTGAATGCATGTGTGTACATGTATGTGTGTGCATGTGTGTCTGTGAGTGTTGTGTGTAAAGGAGAGAGGGAAAGCTAGCACACTGAGGGAGACCAAGTGAGAGACAGAATGAGTAAGGTTCTGTTCATGCTCTGCAGCCTTTCTGAGCCCTTCTCTGGCCTCCTGTGCCATGAGACACACCTGCATCCTTAGAAAACCAACCAATGTGGCCTTCGCACAGAGAATGTTACACTTACTGGCAGCCCAAACTACCCTAACCCATGCAGTCTGCCTTATGCCACGATCCCTGTGAATGAGGAAATAGAACTTCATGTATTTTTCTCCCCTAAATATTCTTCTGAGTTCAGCCACAATTGAGTTTGACTATTTAGAGTAAACAGCTTCCCACCTCAGAAACTTATGTCTCTTCATGGACTTCCTTGGGCTCAAAGGGAGCCTGCTTGGCCACATATAGGTGCAACCTGGAAGTGTGTGAAAGTCAATATCCTTAGAGTCCACCCTGAACCAACACAGGACAGGAGTCAGTGAATAACGTCCCAGCATCCCCACGTACCAAAAGGTTTCTCAGAGACTCTCCAGTGGGATTGAGCTCAATTAATAGCAGCAGTTTCTCCCTATCAATGCACTTTTTTTGTTTGTTTGCTTTCCTCCCTCTCCTGTCTTATTATCTCCACTCCTTCACTTGGGCTTTCCAGGATAACCTCCCAAATAATCCTTCTCCTAGTCTCAGGCCAGCCTGGGTCTTAATCTCAGAATCTGACTTGAGAAGAATCAAAACTATGACAGAAGCCAACTTTGCTTTTGTAAAAAGGGCTTCCTAAGGGAATGAGATAGTTACACGGCTCACATCTGCCCCTCCCTAGTGTGCCTGCCTGGTCTCACCTGTGCCAAAGAGTAAGAAGATTCAAGCCATTATAATTTAAATTCTGCTATGTAATGTGGCTACTGATGCTACTTGGTAAAAACTAACTATTATTTTGACAAGAGTTTCAGAATACATTTTAAAAATTCAACAAGCATTTGCATTATTTACAGGGACTTTCATACAGTATGTATACATTTTCTTGAGAAATGCTATCTTTTAGAAAATGAGGTATAACGCTGCGCATACTGAGAGGACTTAAGCTGCATTTCCAATTTTGCAGCTTTTCACTTTTTAGGACCTTGGGTATGCTCTCTAAGATTTCTAAACCTTGGTTTTCTAATTTATAAAATATGAAAAGAAATACCTGTCTTGGCCGGGCACAGTTGCTCACGCCTGTAATCCCAGCACTGTGGGAGGCCGAGGTGGGCGGATCACAAGGTCAGGAGATCGAGACCATCCTGGCTAACACAGTGAAACCCTGTCTCTACTAAAAATACAAGAAAATTAGCCATACATGGTGGTGGGCACCTGTAGTCCCAGCTACTTGGGAGGCTGAGGCAGAAGAATGGTGTGAACCCAGGAGATGGAGCTTGCAGTGAGCCGAGATCACACCACTGCACTCCAGCCCAGGTGACAGAGAAAGACTCCATCAAAAAAAAAAAAAAAAAAAAAAAAAAAGAAATGCCTGTCTTCCATAATTCATGGAAATCAAAGGTATACCTGTTCTATTGGTTAATGTTAACCTGTTCTAATAGTTAATGGTGCCTTAATGACAGAAAAACTTAATCCGTGGCTTATAGTCTAAGGAAACAAATACAAGTACAAATTAAGCCAAAGTCCCCAAATCCCAAGTTATTTGGAAACGTCTTTCTTCTTTCTCTTAATACTTGACATACCGGTGGAAGAGGACTAGTCATGAGCACATGATTCCTCCATCTTTACCAGCTAGCCTAGGACTGAACTCAAAGAGGTTTTCATTTTCACTTAAAAAATCTAATTGATTTGGTGAGCACATACTGAAATATATTTTAGAATCTGTTGACCTATATACTACAGGTTCTAGCTCTTACTTATGGTCGAGGCAAAAAATGAACATTAGCCTTTAAAATCAGGACCTTGTCAAAAATTATTCCTTCAAGCAATGAGCACTAAACCATTATTAGAGTGCTCAAGTTGATTGTATATTTTTTTCTTAAATATGCTACTTCTCACTGATTTAATCCTCACGAGTAAAACTTTACCTCGAGCTTGATATCTATATTCCAGACAGGCTGATTATAGCATATTTTCCATAGACTAGGAGAATATACTGCCAGAAGGGATCCCAGAAACTGCTTAATTTTCTTCTACCTCCTTAGTCCACAAGAGAAAGCCCAAACAAATGAACTTATTTGTCCCAAAGTCACACTGTGAATTAGATTTTTTAAAAATGCCAAAGATTCAAGCATTCCTGCAATGTTTTTCCACAACAATATTTTCTTTTCCTTTTTTTTTTTTTTTTTGAGATGGAGTCTCACTCTGTCTCCCAGGCTGGAGTGCAGTGGGGTGATCTCGGCTCACTTCAACCTCCTCCTCCCATGTTCAAGCAATGCTCCTGCCTCAGCCTCTCGAGTAGCTGGGATTACAGGCACACACCACCACACCTGGCTAATTTTTGTATTTTAGTACAGATGGGGTTTCACCATGTTGGACAGGCTGGTGTCAAACTCCTGACCTCAAGTGATCTGCCTGCCTCAACCTTCCGAAGTGCTGGGATTACAGATGTGAGCCACTGCACCCAGCCTAACAATATTTTCTAAAACAATTGGACTACTGGCTCCTTGAGATCCTGAAACCCATGCTCCCCAAGAAAAAGTTTCTGTTGGAAAATAAATTTAGGAAACAACATATCGGAATATGAAAGAGTCATAATATTAATACAGTTAGTAAATATGTTTACTGAAGTAACTTGATCCGAGAGAATTTATTTTTTCCCTATGTATGGCTTCTTAACATAATCTTCCCTTCTTATGTTAAGACGTACAGCCCCATTAAATCCATTAAATCACAATCTTCCAGAATAAAGTTCAAGGACTTGGTTTAAGATATCCAATATTTTATCACTAGCTTCTGCCTACCCATCCAACTATATCTGCTGCCCATTCTTTATATGCTCTGGACACGCCCAACCATTTTTAGTTCCCACAAGTATCTGGTATCTCACTTCTTTCACATGTGACATTTTATCCACTTAGAATATGATTTAAGGGCTTGGAGTGTTGGTTTGCATTGCTTTCCTTATATTTGTCTCTATTTCTGTCTTTCCTTGTCTTTGCCCACTTATAATATGATTTAAGGACTTTGAGAGTTGGTTTGCATTTCTCTCCTTATATTTGTCTCTATCTCTCCTTGTCTTTGTTATACAGACACACATGTCATTTGCCATTTAGAATTCCTAAGACAGCATATGCTCTGTGTTTCTTTGACATCAACAATATTATTATAACAAAGACATGTTTCTGATTCTCAACTTAAAGATGTATGAGAATGTTATGTCAAAACAAATATGTTAAGCAAAAATTAAGAATAAGGCTAGATTGTCTCTTGAGATATTCTGTCACCCGTTTGTGGCTCTCATGCCTGCCAGAAATGCCAGCCCCCGACTTTCCCTGCTGTCAGAATTTCACCAACAGCTGATTTCACCATCCTTTCTTTGCCTGCTAACAAGATATAACAAGCAATTGTTTCACTTTCTAGGTTTCACCCATGTGTAAGTGCTTGGAGTCATTTTTAATGGTGGAAATTATTCAGTAGAAACTGAACCAGTAGAAATTATTGTATGACTCAGGCTTCTACTGGTCCTGGTGTCATTGTGACCACTAGAGCTGTGGTTTCTCTCCCTTCCCTTTGTTTTTACTCCATTCTCTGGTCCCTCTCCTGGGGACTCACTGTGGAGGATGAACGCAGAATTGGAACTCCTATGCTGCACTAACTTACAAGAAAATGTCAGGGCTGCTTTGAGGTCCACTGAGACCCTCAAGCAGAGTTTTCAATTTACTTTCTGCACAGAGTATGCATGTTGCATTGGGTGTGCTGACCTGAACCTTAGTTACACATCCCTCCAGAGTCCCTGAATTAGAAGACAGCCACGCTCCTCTAAGTCAGTTCTTGTCACAGTGCAAAATCCAGCTGATGAGTTGTGTCTCTTTGGCTTATAAACCTTTGTCTCCCACATTAGAAATTATATTTTAGTCTTCTGTGAATGTTGGGGACCTAGCACAGTGCCAGGGCATAACAGAGCCACGCTTTTTTGTTGTTGTTGTTGAGATGGAGTTTCACTCTTGTTGCCCAGGCTGGAGTGCAATGGTGTGATCTCGGCTCACCGCAACCTCCGCCTCCCGGGTTCAAGCAATTGTCCTGCCTCAGCCACCCGAGTAGCTGGGATTACAGGCAGGCACCACCATGCCCGGCTAGCCACGCTATTTTTCAACTGAACAAAGCAGTGGGCATATATAGTAATAGCAAAAGGATATTTTAAAGAAAAACCAAAGCACTATTTGCAAACATCTAGGCTGTAGACAAGGTGTGAGTGGAGCAAAGCTACCATGTGTGCAGTTGTGTGAGAGTCTGACCCGAAGTTTTATCAGTGAAGAATAAGAGATCTATTTCACACATTCCGAAGTCATCTGTGGAACTGCAGCTGAGGTAAGCAATGTCAACGGACTCATAAAATGTTTCATTAAATATCAAGTTCCCAAACGGAGGAAACTGTTTGACCTCCGTGCTTAAATATTGCAGAGGAGTATTAGGGGCAAGTGAGTGAGATTCACCGCAGTATTTATTTTCTGCAGGTAACGTGAATGAAATTCTGTTATGTTCAATTATAATTTATAGCTCCATACGAGACATCTGTACATAGCACACGGTCTGTGCTGTGAACTAGGCATGGGAATTGAGTAAGACAGGAACCTGGCTGTTGAGGAATAAGAGCCCGAAGAGGGAGACACGCAAGGAGACAGGTGCTCACAAGGCACCTGTGCAGTTCAGGATGCCCTGATACAGGGGGCCCAAGCTGCTGCAGAAGCAGAGAGGAGGAGGCTCAGCTGTGTGGAGGGAGCTTCCTGGAAGAGGAAATTCTTCAGCTGTCTCCAGGAACAGACAGAACTTATCCAGACAAGGTAGGAAAGAAGGATATGTAGGAAAGCTTCTACGGTGATCCCAAAGGATCCCCAACTCCTGGTATTCATGCCTTTGTATAATCCCCTCCCTCTGAGACTCGCTGGACCTAGTGACTTGCTTCCAAAGAATACAATACGGTGAAGTGATGAAATGTCATTTCCATGATTAGACTATTACAAGACTGTGGCTTCTGTTTTGTGCATTCATTCTCTCTCTCGCTGTCTCCTCTCTCTGTGTCAGAACTCTCCCTCTTGGTGAACCGGGATGCCATGTGGTCAGCCCCATGACGAGGCTCCATGAGAAAGAACAGATGTGCCCAGTCGATGACTAGCAAAGAGCTGAGACTTGCCAGCAGCATTTGAATGATTTTGGAAGTGGATCTTTACCCTCTTGGGCCTTATGATCAGTGCGGCCCTCACTGACATCAGCATCTTGATTGCATCTTGACTGTGAGAGACCCAGGCCACAGGCACTCAGCTAAGCTGTGCCTGAAATCTTGACCCACAGACACTGTGAAATAATGAGTTTCTTGCTTTAGGCTACTACAATCTGGAGTAATTTGTTGCTCTGTAACACATAACTAGTATGAAAATGAATTCATTTGATTGTGTTGGTTTACAAGTTTGTTATTCATTTAGAAATAATACATTTCAAATATATTGTATTCCCAGGCATATGAATAAGGCAGAGTAATATTTTTTTCTTGTCTTCAATAAACTATTATTTTTTAGTAGGTTTTTTTTTTTTTGTTTTTTTGTTTTTTTTTTGCTGGGCCAGAAAATTTTGAAGTTTGAGTATGGGCACAGCATCAGCTATCCATGTTTCTCAATGGATTTAAAAAGGCATTCTTTCAAACTTTTTTCCCCCAAAATGTGAAGATGGCAAATTTGTAAAACTGGAGAATATGCAAAAAAATGTTTACTGCTCCTTATCCCACCAAGCCATTTGTTTCTACCATTTTACTGCTTAATTCTAATATGCTCCCTTGAAATTTTTTTTTAATTTATAGGCTCTGCTACAACTTTTGGTAATAATTCTAAATATTACATATGAAAATCATATTGTGAATAAAAAGGAAGGTGCAAATTTTAGGTTTTTTTTCTAAAATATTATTGGTAGATACTTTAATTCATTCATTTTCTGTTCCCCAGGCATTTATTGAAAATATTGGTGGAAGGTTTGGATAATAGTTATTAGGAATACCTAGATATTCCTTTAAGCACCAATTAAAATCAGAAATAAAAAACCAGTAAGTATATGCTATGGTCAGAATATTCGTGTGTCCTCCAAGTTCATATGTTGAAATCCTAATCCCCTAAGCTGGTGGTAAGAGGTGGGGAACTGTGGGAGGTGATTAGGCCATGAGGGCAGAGCCCTCACAGGTGGAATTAGTGCCCTCATAAAAGAGGCCTCAGAGATACTCCTTGTGCCCCTTCTGCTACATGAGCACACTTGTGAGAGAGTGCCATCTATGAACCAGAAAGTAGGGGACCCTCATCAGAATCTGCCAGCACCTTGATCTTGGACTTCCCAGCTTCTAGAACTGTCAGAAATAAGGTTCTGTTATTTATAAGCCATGCAGTTTATGGCATTTGGTTACAGTAGCTGGAACAGACTAACAGATGGTATTTGGTAGCTGAACCACTCTCTCAGTTCTGCATGAGGGATATAACCTACAAACCTGGGAGCACAAAGGGGAAAACATTATGTTTCACAGATAAGCATATTCAAGAAAGCCTCATAAAAGCGCCTGGTCTCATGTTTCCACACAGAGGGACTTTAGCCAAGGTGACTTTGGGCCTCTCTCTATATTCCTCTACTCCCACCCTGACCCCCACCTTCAAAATCACTGATCCTGGCGAGTGAAGACAGGCAGAGAATGACTCGTCTATTTTGTGAATTTAGAAGAAGAAACAATACCTGATCAGAGCAGCTTATATTCTCCATTTCAGGCTGCCTAGGAGCAATATTCTCGCATCTTCCACATGGGAAACACCTTGGGGCAGGCTCTTCCTTTGCCAGGGGAGACTTCCACGGAATGGGATTTCAGTTTTTGCATAGACAGTAATATTAGCAGTATGCCTAGACTGTAGGTAGATCTAAGCACTGCTTTCAAATAAGCTTTTATTGTAATAAAGCAGACATTTTGATGGCCAGCTTTTTTCTACTAGGCATCTTATTTCTAAATTGATCCAAACCTTGTATGAGAAGAAAGGGTCATGCTTCTTTGGTTCCCGATAATTACAACAAAATTATAGTGGAACTATGATCAATAGAGGAAGGAGAATGGCATGAACAACTACACCGAAGCAGGCAAATTAATGGAATTTATCCTAGGGATTCCAGGAATGGGAAACAGACCATTTGGTTGGAATGCAGGGTTAACATAGGAGAGACATGGAAAATTAGCCAGGAAAGGCAGATTGGGTGGACCCTGAATACCAAGATAGGCATTTTTGACTTAATCTGGAAGGTGTGGCAGAGATCAGGTGTCTGATCCAAAGCGTTGCTCACATTCATGTGGTCAAGGAATGTTAATTTTACTGTCACTACTTACCAACCCTCATGCTAGTCATTAGCAACAGAAGAGCTATCCCTTTGGAGGGAGATATCCAGAAATCTGTGAAGAGTCAAAACCTAGGGGTAAATGAAGTGACTGACTGACAGAGGACAGGGTCTACGGAAGCTGAGCATGGGCCTTCTGAGACTATAATAGGAAGAAAACACCCTGAAAATAACACACTAGTAGGAGAAGAAATGGACAGTTTAGTGAATTGGAATTTTCTGGAAAGTAAAATACAAAGTCTTATAGAAAGGTTCTAACTTTTCTATAACGACACTCATTAGGGTCAAATGCTCTTGATAAGCAGTAGGCCTATGTCATCTTCTCTTAGGAATGGATGGGAAGACAGACACCAAATGCAGACCTTTCTATTTCACTCCTGTGTTCCTCCTCCACGGAAGTTAAATATGAGTACCTGTGTCTCAGAAACTTAGAGGAAGCCATCTTTGCATGTCATTTACCTAATGGACAGAGCATGAAGCGAGTACCATGAGAGACACTAACCTCAGCGATAACCAGTTGTTAGAGCTTCCTTGAAAGCATAATACTTACAGGGCAATGGTAGTAAACAAAATCATCCTTCTGAGAAAAATTATGTAAAGTAGGAACCACCTCTTGCTCTACTTGATTTGATATTGCACAGGAAGCTATAAGAAATGTAACTTATTCCTGTAGATTCTCTATTTTTAATTTGCAGTTAAGTTCCCTTCAGTATCTTTGATCTGAAATACTATGGAAATACATTAACATTCTAAATGCATTTTCAGCCTCAATATTGGCTGCCAAGTATTCGTGTTCATAAGAATATTAACTCAGTTTTCACACTCTGGCTTCTCATACTTCTAATATTTTGCCCAAAATACAACGACTGGATTCTTTGGAAAGACTTTTTCTAAAAGATTATTTTTGGAAAGAAGCCTTCCAAAGCTTTCAATGACTCCTTGAAAGTTTATATATCAAAGAAACGCTCCCTCCAACAGGAAAAATGTTAACCTACTGGTCCTACTAAAGATTTTATGATTCGTGGGTGGTCATAATGCTTTCTAATTTCTGCTTCTATCACACAGTAAAAAAATATTTGATTTTATGAATTTATTCTTTTTTGTTTGAGATGGAGTCTCACTCTGTTGCCCAGGTTGGAGTGCAGTGGTACGACTGTGGCTCACTGCAACCTCTGTCTCCTGGGTTCCAGCAACTCTCCTGCCTCATCCTCCCCAGTAGCTGGGATGACAGGCACACCACCATGTCCAGCTAATTTTTATATTTTTGTTTAGTTGAGATGGGGTTGCACCCCGTTGGCCAGGCTGGTCTCCAACTCCTGACCTCAAGCAATCCGCCCACCTTGGCCTCCCAAAGTGCTGGCATTACAGGCATGAGCCACTGTGCCTGGCCAAGTTTATTCCTTTGAAAAATAATCACAGAATACAATTTGAGGTTTGAGGTAGGCAGAATAATGACTTCCCAAGATGTTGCTGCCCTATCCCTTAAACCTGTGGATAAATTACTTTATATGACAAAAGGGATTTTGCAGATGTGATTAGGTTAAGGATCTTGAGGTAGGAGATTATTTTAGATTTTTTAGATGGGCCCAATAGAAACACAAGGATCTTAACAAGTGAAAGAGAAAGGCAGGGTAGTCAGTGCCAGAGCAATGCGATGTGAGAAAGATTACATCAGTCATCGCTGGCTTTGAAGATGACGGCCAGTGCCCTAAGCCCAGGAATGCGGGAGGCCTCCAGAAGCTGAAAAAGAATGGACCAGATTGTCTCAGAGCCTCCCAGAGGAATGCGTTCCTGTTGATTTTAACCTAGTGAGACCCGTTTCAGACTTCTGACCTCCCAAACTGTAAGATAACATATTTGTGTTGTTTTCAGCTACAACATTTGTGATAATTTGTTAGAGCAGCCCTAGGAAACTGCAGCATAATTTTTTTTTTTTTTTTTTTTTTTGAGACAGAGTCTGTCGCCAGGCTGGAGTGCAGTGGCGCTATCTCGGCTCACTGCAACCTCCGCCTCCCGGGTTCAAGCGATTCTCCTGCCTCAGCCTCCCGAGTATCTGGAACTACAGGCGCCCGCCACCACTCCCTGCTAATTTTTGTATTTTTAGTAGAGACGGGGTTTCACTATGTTGGCCAGGCTGGTCTAGAACTCCTGACCTCAGGTGATCCGCCCGCCTTGCCCTCCCAAAGTGCTGGGATTACAGGCGTGAGCCACCACGCCCAGCCATAATTTTTTATAAGGTCTCTTTTCAGGGTGGTTGACAGTGAGGGGCGTGATAGCAAAATCAAAGCACAGAATCCAGGGTTAGAAACAAGCCTGGCTACATTCGTTCAGTGCTGATTATTTCAGTGTTTCTGAAATCTATAAAAATACTTGAGAGAACACATGATCCAACTCTGTCCACCGGAAGAGCTACAAAATGTTTCTGATCTAGAAAAACACTGGCCTTTGACAGACATATGTTCTCATAGCATCTGTATGTACATGTGCTAGACTGCAAGAGATGATGCTAGGACAGGCCCCCAAAGTCCAGACCTTGACTGAGCTAAGAGGTCAGCATCTTGCCTGTCTCCTTCATCTTCTGCTTCTTCATCCTAGTGGTCTACCACCTTCTCTCATTTATTTTTTCTCTCCCCAGTCTCTCACATTCTCCTTTTTTTTCTACTTAATTTTTTCTCTTTCTGAAATTCGTCATCATTTGAAACAGAAGTTAGTCTCTTAGTTCCATTTATCTAGAAAGTTTAGTTGTTTCTATGTTCAGTGTATGTTCATTTCTTCTCCAAGGATGATACACCGCAGGTATATGATAGATATACTTTGTAAAATCTTTCAATTGTTCATGCTTAATTTTAACAGTAACTACCAAGAATGAAATTCGGCTTTAAGGATTGATAACTATATACTCTTAAACAAAACAGACACGGTGAGGTGGGAGGATCACTCGAGCCCAGGAGGCAGAGGTTGCAGTGAGCCATGATCACGCCACTGCACTCCAACCTGGGACAATAGATTGAGTTTCTGTCTCAAAAGAAAAAGGAAACAAAAAGAAAAACAACAGTGCTTATTTCTAGATGGTGACGCAATGGATGGTTCTTATTCTTTTTATCTTCATAAAAATATTTTTCTATTTTTAAGACACTAAAATGACTGGCTAAAAAACTGTTAATTCCATTCATTGTTACTTGAGACTTTTTAAAAGTCCCTTTTAAGGACTTGAAATCTTAAGTTTCTGGGACATGGATTAAACATTTGAACAAAAACAACAACCAATGCCAAATAATGCTGACAGAGTATCCCTTACTTTGTGCTGTAGTCTTATTTACATATGTGCGAATGAATCTTAGGTCCTGTTTATTGTTCCTCTTGTTTATCATAGCTTTCTATAGTTGACTTACACTTATTTTGCTACTCCAGTGCTATATACTTATTGTGCATTTTCAGAAATAGCTTTTCTGAAATCAGTGAATGGATCTTTTATGTCCCAATTGAACTTTCTCTCCCACAGCTGCTCAATTTGCTGTTTGTAATGAAGTTGACGTTCGGATGTTTCTTTCCAAGTTCACCCCATCCTTTTAGCACATGGTGAAAAATTCAACAAGGAAGTTCTCCCTGCCTGCTGTATTGAAGATTTAAGAGTAGGAGTATTCGTACTTGCCATATAAGACCCTAACCCTAACAGTCAGAGCTGCCTCTGAAGCATTAAGAAGAACTCTTTGTGAATAGCATCAGATCCCATTTCACAATTTTCCTCTTGAATATCTCAGCAAGACTGATTCCAAATCTTAATCGAATTCATTACATCTTGGTGGGGCATGGTGGCTGACGCCTGTAATCCTAGTACCTTGGGAGGTCATGGAGGGAAGATCACTTGAGGTCAGGAGTTGGAGACCAGCCTGCCCAACATGGTGAAACCTGGTCTCTACTAAAAATACAAAAAAAAAAAAATTAGCTGGGTGTGGTGGTGGGTGCCTGCAATCCCAGCTATTCAGGAGGCTGAGGCAGGGGAATCGCTTGAATCCGGGAGGCAGTGGTCGCAGTGAGCCGAGATTGCGCCACTGCACTGCATCCTGGGCACAGAGCGAGATTATGTCACACACACACACACGCAAAAAAAAAAAAAAAAAAGAAAAGAAAGAAATTAATTACATTTTGTGGTTTTCTGAATGAGAGTTGCTTCTGGGTTGTATCTAGCTATATGATTGACATAGAGAACTAGAAAGAAGAAACACCTGAAATTAAAAGCTCAGTGTTTATAAATTATAAATGAATTTTTGTGCATCGTGCTTCATATTCTGTTATGATGTTAAAAACTAGAGCTAATCCTAGTAACACACACACACACACACACACACACATTCTCTCTCTCTCTGTCTCATACACATACATTAGTAAGCTAATGGGAAAAACTATTGCACATACATCATCAGAATGTGGTTACGTACTTCAGCAGTATTGCTTTATCCCAAGTAGATTTAGGTAAGCTGGATTTGCAAATGAACTTTAAATGTGTTTTGCTTCTCTGACACTTGTAAGTGGAATTTTAATATTGGCCCCTAATAATGTTTTGCAATTAACCAGCATTTTAACACGGAAATAAGCAATAAACTAATGCTTTAACACTTTTTTAATTGAAAAAATTAAGAGAAGCTAATTAATTTGTAAACTGTACATAGTGAATCATTGAGCCTGAGTAATTTTGTCTATTTTTTTGTTCTACACATGAGTAGCTGTAAAAAAAAGTACAAATATATAATTAGCAATAGACAACTTTTAACACTTCCTGGAAATATTTGTGCATTTTTTGGCAATCACATTATAAGAGTTTTATTAAGTTTTCTCCTAACATTTTAAATGATTTTAATCTTTTGTTAATTCATCTAGATTTTGTAAGTCTCTTATCTCTGCTATAATAGCAGCAATAGAGTCAGACTTAAATTTTCCAGTAAGAAATGGTTTGGGGCTATTCATTTTAAGATCTATACTTAAATTTTACTTTGGTTTTTACCTTTCATTTCAGTATCAGTATATCATACCATAACTATCTTAATGTAAGCACTCAATATTTTCCAACTGAAAAATCTACTGAATCAGGCTTTTGTAGGTCTAATTTCAGCCCCTTCTCTTCAGACTAGTTTTGTTGCTGTTCCCAGCACAAATAAATGAATGTAGTTAATCCAAAAAATATTTATTGTGTACCTACTAATGTTCTGGACACTATTTTAGATGGGGAGACAATTATAAACATAATAGACAGGTAAAAGTCCCTGAACTCATGTAATTAACATTCTAATTGCGGGAGACAGGTGATATAGCACACAAATAAGCAAAAGATGCAGTATATTAGAATATAATGGGCTGCATACAGTGGTTCACGCCTGTAATCCCAGCACTTTGGGAGGCCGAGGTGGGCAGATCACGAGGTCAAGAGATCGAGACCATCCTGGCCAACATGGTAAAACCCCATCTCCACTAAAAATACAAAAATTAGCTGGGCATGGTATCACAAGCCTGTAGTCCCAGCTACTTGGGAGGCTGAGGCAGGAGGATCGCTTGAACCCAGGAGGTGGAGGTTGCAGTGAGCCGAGATCACACCACTGCACTCCAGCCTGGGCGACAGAGCGAGACTTGTCTCAAAACAAACAAACAAAAAAAGAATATAATGAACTATGAAGAAAAATAAAGCAGATAAGGGAGATAAGGAAAACAGAAGTGAGGTTACTATTTTAAATATGGTTGTTAAGGTGGGTCTTCAAGAGAAGATGACATCTGGGCAATGACTGGATGGAGTTGATGGATCTTGCCATGCAGTAGGTAAGTTGGAAGAACAGCACACGCCATGCCCTGAGAATCTAATGCTTGCCCGATGTGTTCATGGGACAGCAACACATCCAGTATGATTAAAATGTGTGAGCAACTGAGTGAGCAAACAAGGGGAAGGGCAGTAGAAGCCAAGATCATCGAGGTATAGTTCAGGGCCTTGGAGGCTGTTGTTTTTAACATGAGGTTGGACATGACCAGAATGCATATTTTAACAGAATCACACTGGCTGCTGTGATGAGAGTGAATAGGGCCTGGGTGAAAGTAGGTCGACTAAGGCAGGAAGCTACTGCAAAAACAGACAGAGGACGATGGTGTTTGAACCAGAATGGCGGTGATAGAGTCATTGAGAGCAGAACTAGTTGATGGGGTAGACGTGGGTTGTGAGTGTAGAGAGGCAGCCAGGATGGGTTTTGGCCTCAGCAATGGGTAGGATGGCCCATTCTCTTCTCTATACTCACTGTGGATAAGTTCTTAGTGAATTTTATGATCTTCTCATTTCCAACAGCAAAACACCTTATTATTTTTTTTTTTTAGTTCAAATCTCACTTTCTAAGAATCTTAACCTAATTAACCTCATGCTTTTCTAAACAGTCCATTAAACTTCATTCCCTTGGGCATGTGCCTAGGTTTATTCTGTTACTTTGTCCTCATTAGAATAGTTTTCAGGCTCTTATGTTAAAAAGCTTGAAAAACAAGAAACAAATATATAATAGACTTTTAAAGTAGATGGTAATATTTAAATATTGAAACCTATTTAAAATGCATACACATTTAAATATATAAAATACATGATTTTACTTATTTATAAACAGAAAAAAAATTAAAATAGATGTAAAAATCTATCTACATCTATTGATTTATAATATCCATATCTATATATATTTTATACCTTCATCTATCCAAAAAACTGTGATCTAATTAAACAGCTGAATAAACCAATATGGTTGTTCTGTATTGTTCTTAGTACCTAATACATTATGACTGTGATTATGGGGATATAGTAGCAAAGCCTACTGTCATTGTATTTTTTTCTAATTTTTTCATGTAACACAAGGATAACTTTTAATAATATGTGTTATTTTTCTTACAGAGGGGTGAAATTTGCTTGAGTAGATTTATGGTGTTTTCATTTCCAGCAGAGATCTGAGTGTCAAAGTGCTCTCTACCTCTGGTGAAAGGACCATGTGGTGGTGGTTGGCCTTCAGATGAGGGGAAGGAGGGGTGTGTGATTTCAGGTGTGTCTTCCAAAACAGAAAAATCCAGGTCTGATCCTGTTCTTGTCTGATAATTTCTTATCTCTGGTGAAAACGCATATCCCCCGGGTGCAGATTGAAGCATGCGTCTCTGGTTCCATTTTAATGGGAATACACTTTTACATGAGAGGTAGAGATAGAGCAGGAAGGTGCAGGGAACCTGAGGGCAGGCTATGTCTCTAAAGTGAGGAAGGCAGGCACAGATGAGCAGCTTGTGCAGCCTGTATTTTTGGCTTGCTTCATGATTTTGTATTTGGCCTTGAGCCAAGCCTGGGGATGGGAATCCAACACTTGCTTCACTGATTTCTATGAGTGTAATTACTGTGGTTAAAAATAATGTTCCTTCACATACATGGAAGGCTTTATAATCAACATGTGTTGCCTCCTTTTAGCATTACAGCAATCCCCAGCGAGGTGAGTAGAGAACCCTGTATTTATTTTCTAGATGAGAAAAATGAGCCTCAAAGAGAGAAAGTGGCTTTACCAAGGCCACCTACACATTTATTCATAATACATTATCATGCAACTACTATTTTGTAGGGGTACAATGGAAAAAAAAAAGGGCAATCCACGGCCTCTTGCCTTAAGAAGATTATAATCCATTCGGGCATTTAGACAAACAAATAGGTATTTCAAATATGAGTACAGATTTAAAATACAGTAAAACTAAACATCTGGTCTTTTATTCCTCTTTAGTTTCTCTTTACCAAATATTTTTAAATGAAAATACATGTATCATTTATTATACAAATAATAGATTTTCATTTGATTTCAACTGAAACAATTTATTAAAAATATGAAAAAATATTCAAATGACCTACTCTTATTACTTGGAAAATATCACTGTTAAAATTGATATATCACTTTATGTTTTTTTCTTTCTTTATATTTTCAACCAGGTATTTTCATTTTAGTTTTATTTTCTGTTTAGTATAGAGTAGGTTTCTTATGTTTTCTCTGTCAAACAACATAGCTCTGCTTGCTAACTCTAATTGTTTCTTAGCATGTCATCAGATCATTTATTTTACCATACAACTATTGATGTTAAAATATTTTCACATTTTTCATCATTCAAAACTATGCTGAGATGAAAAGCATACATAAATCTTTGTAACTCTGTCTTATTATTTGCTTGCTATACAATTCTAAAAATGGAATTGTTGTCCAAAAGCCACGCATATTTGAGTTTTACAGTGTTGACTTCTGGAAGGTGATATGATAGACAGATCTTGATAGATGTTGATTTAAATTCTATTTATGGTTCTTTAAATAAGAATAAAACTTAGGTTCCTAATGATAAATAACTTTAAGCTAATGTATTTTTAAAAATCTCTTTGCAATATCATGAAAATTTTCCTACTACTTTGATCTTTAGTTATGAGAAAAAATGATGTATGAAAGTTGAATATGGCTAGATTCTGGAATAGGTCTGAGTATCTGTGACCTAAACTGTAGATCATCTAACTAAAATGTAACATTAGGAACTGTTGTATGGACAATTAGTCTTTATATGGACACTTTTCTTATGTTGCTAATGTGAATATTTAGTACTGAAGATTTTGATTGTGCAAAAAAATTTAGAATTCTCTCTATCAAGAAAAGTGCTCCCTGGTTCCAAAAAACTGTCTCAAAAGGACAAGTCTGCAAATGGGAGTGTGGACACTGTGACACCACAGAATTAGTAATACATGAGTGCATGCACGTATGAGATGTGTGGGCACGGCGATGGTGAGAGTGTGGAGAGCTCCCTATTTTAGGATATAAAGTGCATTAGGTGGGATCCCATGCTGTATATGTTTTCACCCAACTCCTATTATTTCTTCTCTCAAAAATGTGTCCAGTTTGTATCTTACTAAGACTCTTCCAAGGTAATGCTGTCTACTATTATGCTTTGGTCAAGGTAATTACATGCATCACGAGGCCACTGAGTGTGATAAAAACAAGCAAACAAATAAATATACAAACAGCTTTTATCTAGGTTTACGTTGGCACCTGTACCTCCTGCTATAGAAAGCACTTTGAAGGCATTTTCTTTGCTCATGTAAAGTCAGAGAAAATAGGTTAGCTCTTATTTAGGGACAATCAGCCCAGAATGGACATAAGAAATACAAAGTTCTCTGGTGGCTACTATAGTGGTTTGTCTGATCTTTGTCGTTTTGTTGCAAAGAGCTTTCTATCTACACAGCGACTAAGTATGATTGGATGCCATTAAATACTCCTGTTAAGCACTTTGGGGAGCTATGGGTCTGTTTTTAGTCTCCTTTCTCTCTTTCTTGCTGATAAATGTAAAAGAAAATATTAACTGGGCTTAGTTTAGAAACATTATGTACACATAAAAAATATGCCCCACGATACTAGATCTGGGATAAAACTCATTAACTTACTATTAGAAAGTTACTAAATTACTTCCTAGCTTTATTGCAAAATGCAAAAAAAAAAAATGTTGTTTTAAAGGATAATTAGCTTTTTCATTAAAAAAGAAAATCGGCTTGAGGAAGAAAAAAACTTGTTTAAAGAAATGAAGAATTAAATAGTGGAATCATTACTCTATGAATTCTTGGTGCTGATAACACTCTTAAATAGTGTATGAAGATCAGAACAAAAAGAAAAAGTGCTAGAGGGGCTCAAAGAGTGTGAAAGGTCGGTATTCACGATGTACTAAATGTATCACCTTTTGTCACTGACATAATAAAGGTAGCCAGAGGGGCGAAAAACTGCAAAGGACTGCAGTTGTCTGTATGCACCGACACAATAGCTTAATTCTTACTTGGCTGCTTCAGAACAGTGGGAAATAATGCTTCCTCACATATATATATGAATCAGACCTTATGAATCAGAAGGGATGGTGCCCAGGAGTCTGTACTTGTATTGACTTACTCATGAGATCATCAAATAAAATATAATTTAAGAATCACTGATTTAGAGGAAACAAAGCAAAAAACCATATAGACATAGAACTGTTGGATTGACTGGTGGTATCCAAGTTCAGTAACTAAAGCTTCCTCATGTATATATATATGAGGAAGCATTATATATATATATATATATATGGTTGTAGGCCCATCACAGGAGCACTTACTTATGAAATCTAAAATTTAGAAATTGAGTGTTGTAATAAAATAAAATTTCCAAGCAATATTTGTCATATATTAACCTACCAAGCCTTTTGTAAAGTGCATACTAGTTATCATACTACTTGGGAATTATGAATTAATAATAATTCAAAATTTATGAGTGTACTTATGAACCATTAAACTTTTGGAGATTTTTTTAATCTATTTTGTATGGCATTGGTTGTACTTTTACTTTTTGGGAATTTTTTTTTTTTGGAACCATTTGTAGTAATCACAAATACATGTTCAATGTAAAAACCAAAGAATCTGAAATGATTGATTCAGAACATAAGCTCTACCATATTTCCTTGTCTGCTATCCTCATAACTGGGACTCCCTTTATTTCTGAAGTCCTTTGTCAGTGTATTCTGCAGGGATCTCCTTGACTATGTCCTCTGTCCTGGTGAGGGTGAAGAGACTGAAACTCTTGATCATGAGGTAATGGAAAGTCTGCATGGCTGGTGGCTTACATGGCAAGGATAAGGTGGAATGGCCAGCCAATTTGCTCTGTAAAAGGCCACTAAATACTGGGTTTTAGCCCTCAGAGTCTGGGGAACTTGAAGTCAAAGAAGAGAAAGAATTAGAATACGCAGAACCCCAGACAGGTTTCATCTTCTGATCAGATAGAAAGGCTAAGAGAGAAAACAGATTCCCTAGTCACACTGGCACGAATCCTCTGCTCTGGAATCTTCTCATAAGCCCAGTGAAATTCAGATTCCATGACTCTATTATAGACCTTATGAATCAGAAGGGATGGTGCCCAGGAGTCTGTACTTGTATTGACTTACTCATGTGCCCATCAAATAAAATACAATTTAAGAATCACCGATTTAGAGGAAACAAAGCAAAAAACCATACAGACATAGAACTGTTGGATTGACTGGTGGTATCGAAGTTCAGTAACTAAAACTCAAAAACCTCTTTCCTTCAATTCCCAGAAGTACCCAGGAATTAACTGCCAGATGAAACAATCTGCAGAGAAAACCTCTGAGCACATTCCAGGCAGCATAAAAGGATTAAACTTTATATCAAAGACTAACTTTACAAGCAAGGAAACAAGCAGAAGAGAGCTTTTCTGTCCCTGAAGTTTCTTTAACTGGGGAACCTAGTCTTTCTTTTTACAACTATATGTAAGCCAGCTTAAAGTGTAACTGCTAAGACAGTGAGAGGGACCAAATCTCAGTGATACCAAAAAATTTCCAAATATGTGACTAATATCAGGTTCTCTCTCATTTGATACAGGTTAGAAAGAAAAAGCACAATGAAGGGAAGAGACAGAGAAAGAGAAGAGTGAAAGTTTAACCCAAGTCCAGCTGCTTTCCTTCAAGCAAAAAAGTCAGACCAGTAAGTAATTTCGGGAGTGTCAGGCTGGATATATGGAATTTCCATTCATTATATGACAAGCATTTGTTGAATAACTATTGCATCAGTCCTGTCCTGTTTTTTGGTATGAGAAGTTAATAAGATATTTTTTGACATCAAAAAGCAAATATCCCACAACTCTGTATTGCTCTTTCTATGACACGGTCTGCACAGCATGCTGTGGGAGAACAGAGAGTGGGGGCCCTAAATCAGATTTGGGATGATACAATGTTTCCTGCAATCAAAGAGACTTGAGCTGAGTAATGAAGAACATGCCAATGATAATTAAGTAAAAGAGGGAGTTTGCATTCCATACAAAGACGTGTACAAAGCATTATAGCATGCTCAGAATGCCTGCAGCTGAGTGGGAACTGGGTAAAGGTTAAACTATACAAAGACAGGAACTAGATTATGCATATTTTGTGAGATTAGTTTATTCAAATTTTATATTTACAACTTTGGAGATTTATTAAAGGGTTTTGTATTCGTCCATTTTCATACTGCTATGAAGAAATATCCGAGACTGAGTAATTTATAAAGAAAAAGAGGTTTAATGGACTCACAGTTCCACATGGCTGCGGAGGCCTCACAATCATGGCAGAAGGCGAAGGAGTCATAGGCATGTCTTACATAGTGTCAGGCAAGAGAGAGTGTGCAGGGGAACTGCCCTTTAAAAAATCATCAGATCTCATGAGACGTATTCCCTATGCTGAGAACAGCACGGGAAAATCTGCCCCTATGATTTAATTATCTCCCATCAGGTCCCTCCCATGACATGCAGGGATTATGGGAGCTACAATTCAATATGAGATTTGGGTGGGGACACAGCCAAAGAATATCCGGATTTAACCTGATAAGACCTGATAAGTCATGGCATCAAATTCTCACTTTTGCAGATGTGTGAAGGATAAACTGAAGGCCCTTAAATCAAGAGTTGCAAGGTTTTTGCTGTTATTCAGAAATGGGGAGTATCTGTGTTGAAGTATGACCTGAAGAGGAAGATGGGATACAAATGGCATTCCAGAGATGGAAGATGCTGAACTTGGTGACCAATTAGATGTGGCTAGATTACTGGCTTCAGTGGCTGGGTTGCTAAAGGACCGTTTTTCCTTTATAGGAAATGCAGGAGGAAAAGGAAGTCTGGTTGGAATGGGGGACAGGGGGCAGAAAGAATAAGTTGATTTTCAATATGCCAAGCTTGATGCAGGGATATAATGGCTAGGATCTAGAGACATCATTCATTCAATAATAATTTATTACATTTCTACTATGTGCTGGTCACTGTCCACCAGGACATTTAATGGGCCCAGCAAAATGTTCTAGAGTGGCAATATGGATGAAGGAATCACTATGTAAATGAAAATTGATGCCATGGTTAGGGACAGTAAGGGTAAGTGCATATGTTGAGAAGGAAAGCCTGAGGACACAGCTGGAGAGCACCACTACTGGAGGACAAGGCTAAAGAAAAAGCCCAGGAAGTATACTGAGAAGCAGAGGCTTGAACTACACTGAACCCAAATGAAGAGCTGCTGAGTTACAGAAAACAAAGAAAAACCACTATAAGAAAGAGAAAGTGGCCAGGCGCGGTGGCTCACGCCTGTAATCTCAGCACTTTGGGAGGACGAGGCAGGCCGATCACGAGGTCAGGAGATCAACCATCCTGGCTAACATGGTGAAACTCCGTCTCTACTAAAAAATACAAAAAATTAGCCGCGCGTGGTGGCAGACACCTGTAGTCCCAGCTACTCGGGAGGCTGAGGCAGGAGAATGGTGTGAACCTGGGAGGCGGAGCTTGCAGTGAGCCGAGATTGCCCTACTGCACTCCAGCCTGGGTGACAGAGCGAGACTCCAAAAAAAAAAAAAAAAAAAAAAAAAGAAAGAAAGAGAAAGCAACTTCTATAAAATATAGATGTCCCATTTATATAAGTTAACATCAATTTGCCAATATAGAAGTAACTGACAAGAGTCGATCCAGTGATATAGAGAAGATGGTAGCCACGTTGAAGGGTTGAAGGGTGGACTGGTGTGGGGAGGAGCGGGTGAAGAGAGACAACCTCCTTGGGTTACTTAGCTGAGTCCATAAGAAATGTTGTTGAGAAAGATTAACAATTTTTAAACACATGTTACTCCCCATTTTTACCTTATTTTCATACCCCTGCATTCTTATCTACTTTCCTATATGTCATATTTGCTAACTTGACTTATGGTCACCTACAAACACTAATATTAGGTACCAGAAGCTCTCTGGAGAGTAGGTCTGAAGGAAGCAGAGCGGGGAGAGAGTGTGCAGTCCTGGGAAACCCAGGAAAATGGAGATCCATGGTAATGTCCACAGCTGCTACTTTGGAGAGTCTACAATAGGTCTGATCATGAACATCCACTTCACATGCATTTTAAATTGTTTTATTTTTTTCTTTTAAGAAAACAACTTACAAGGTAAATACAATCATTTTCATTTGACAGGAGAGGGGAGTGAGGATCAGGGAGGCCAAATCACTAGCCTCAGCTCACACCCACAGTAAGTGACAGAGTTGGGGCTAGAACCCCAGACCTTTTAAAATATCACAGGAAGGAAGAAACAGCTGAGTAATTTGGAGACGTAAAGAGAGCAGAAAATCAATTTGGTCTAACAAGTGTGTTTTTGTTATAGCTAGTGTGGAAAACCAGACAGTGGGTAGATGTTAGTGGCCCAGGTGGCTCAACTGCTAAAGCCCAGCTTTGATTCATTAGGTTAAACAAGTCACACCTTCCGGGCAACTAACTACATTTAGTACAATTTTGAAAGAAATCAATTTAAAAAGATACAACTTTTCAAAGGGCCAGGGGTTGATTAGCAGCCACTGGAAGGACGTGTCAAAATCTAGAAACTTGGGCCAGGCGTGGTGGCTCACGCCTGTAATCCCAGCATTTTGGGAGGCCGAGGCAGGTGGATTGCCTGAGGTCGGGATTTTGACACCAGCCTGACCAACATGGAGAAACCTTGTCTCTACTAAAAATATAAAATTAGCCGGGCATGGTGGTGCATGCCTGTAATCCCAGCTACTCAGGAGGCTGAAGCAGGAGAATTGCTTGAACCCAGGAGGCGGAGGTTGCAGTGAGCCGAGATCGCGCCATTGCACTGTAACCTGAGCAACAAGAGCAAAACTCCATCTCGAACAAAAAACAAACAGAACAAACAAACAAAAAATTTTAGAAACTTGAAGGACCCGAGCCTTTGGCCAACGATGGCTCCATTTCCTCATATTGATGGGTCTTAGAATGGTCCTAGTGCCTGGCCATGCCTTCCTCTGTTGCTAGTAGTCCTTAATCATTTTGACTATCTCTATCACAAAGAGAGAAAGGTTTCATCAGAAGGCTCATGACATCTCCTTAGCTAAGAACTGGTTTGGTCTATCATTATCTTTTACAACTGTTCACCCCAGTCTGCTGTAATGATAAGTGATGCTTGAGCCGGTTCTTAAGAGACTCCTTCTTGACAAGGGGAGGGAAAGAGTGACACATTCTCGTTACAAGATCTGATCCAAACCCATTTGACTCTGATCTTTCTGCACCTGGAAAAGATCCATTTGTTAACTCAGACTTTCTCCAAAAGGCACTACAGGGAAGAAATGGCAATGATTCTGACAGGAAAAAGCTTTTACCGAGTGCCAGTTTTATGTGTATTATAACCTACAGCTCTACAGGTTGTGAAATACTTCATCCTGTTGGGAACTACAGCGTTTAAGGCCATTTGTTTGGTGATCGATAGCATTACATAAAAAGAAGCTGGAAAAAGAGAAAGCAAAATTAAGAAAACAGATACATTTCTTCCATTTAAATTAATCTCCTCGCTCTTTTGCATTGTTTCTGTCCCTTAAATTCTCCCAGATTTACAACTAAGTGCTGATAATTGCTGGAAATAGCCACGAATTTTATGGAATAATTGGCTCTATTTTAAGACACACTTTAGTGTGTACACTACATAGTGTGGCTATAAAATAATAAAAGAGATTTTTGCATGTCGCTGCTGGATATCATTCTCATTATTTTTAGTCACACATTGTATATGTGTGTGCGCATGGCAACATTTTATTGTTTGAAGGTCTTTTATAGTTTTTAGAAGTTACAAAATAATAGAATTAATTGCTTTGAATTTAGTCATTTTGCACTGGGCAAATATTGATTTCTTTCCCAACACCTTTAATTTCTAATGGAGCTTGAAATTAACTTTGGATTTTAATTCTATTTTATTCTGGGTTTGTACATCAGGGCCATTAATAATGTCAGGAGAGTGCTGAGAGAACTGTTTCTGAGCCAGGGGCCCGGAGTGAGCTTTGCAGCATTTGAATCTTCATCCTTTATAGAAACGGGGAAAATCTATGTGGGGATGTATATCATACTAGTGTTTTATGAATGAGGAATCAAATGAAAAAAGTTATCCTGTGAAAAGACACCCTCATGTCACTTGCTAAAGTTTGCATCAGTGTGTGCATGCGTGTGTGTGTGCATGTGTGTGTGCATATTTAATCACATTCAAAATGGTCGGGGAAGCAAAGGACAGATTTTCCCTAACCCAAAATGCCTGGAAAAATGAGTCTTTCTGATTCATATATATATATATATGAATATAGTTTTTAAATTATATTTTTAAACAAAAAATACAATCTCGATATAATTTATATTAATGTGATTATAACTCCAAAATTTAATGTAATTTAAATATGGTCTTTCTCAGAGGTTTTTTGTTTTTTTTTTTTTAAGACAGAATCTCATTCTGTCGCCCAGGACCCCAAGCCGTGGTGCAATCTCGGGTCACTGCAACCTCTGCCTCCCGGGTTCAAGTGATTCTCCTGCCTTAGCCTCCCGAGTATTTGGGATTACAGGCACGTAACACCACGCCCAGCTAATTTTTGTATTTTTAGTAGAGATGAGGTTTCACCATGTTGGCGAGGCTGGTCTTGAAGTCCTGGGCTCAAGTGATCCTCCCGCCTCGGCCTCCCAAAGTGCTGGGATTACCGAAGTGAGCCACTGTGCCCGGACTAAAACATTTTTAATGATTATATACTGTCTCCATAAAATGAGGTAGCTAGAATAAATGATTGCCAAGACCCCTTGGGAGCCCTAGGTTTTCATACATGCCTCTAGGTCAGTGAGGGCCCCCTCTTTTCTCAGAGGTACCCTGAACTTACTCCCACAGCAGCTGCTCTCAGGCTGATGCACTGGGGACTCATGTCAGGAGCTACAGGACAGGGCTTCTCTACTAGAGCTGCCAATAGAAAACCAACTTCTCAGAACCACTTCCCAGTCTCCAGGCTGTTTGGAATTGGTGCTCTGAGAGTTGGAAATGCCATGGCAGAAGGGAGGGAGTATGGACAAGCACAGATTTCACAAAATCAACAGGAAATGGTTTGAAATTGTGGCTCTGCCATGAACTTTGAACCTCAGCTTTTTCATCTGAAAAATAAAATATCTTCCTTACATGCAATTTTGAAGAATGAAAATTCAATACCTAACATACTCTCCTCTCCCTTCTCCTCAGGGTTCTTTAAACCCACAGAGTGTGTTCAAAATGAAAAATTTAATCAACAAAGACTATTAGGTTTTGCAAAAAGAGAGACAGAATAGTTAACTTAGGCCTACACAATTTATTTTCTGGGAGAAAAAACTGTGGGTAAAACACTTGGAAAAAAAATTAACTGAGTGTATAAATACCAGAGACATTACACAGAACTAATTGCTGTCAAAAATATTTTTTTTTTTTTACAAAAGAGAAATCCGTTTAAGTTTTAGTGAGCAAACAAGATTTCACAAAATAAAAAGAGAATGTGACTGGAGCCTACAGAAAGTAAATTTTGAGTGTGGTAAAAGTGGGGAGAAGAGTAATCTGGGGTGCAGGTTAGGGGATGGCATAACGGAGCTGGGAAAGCACAGGGGACACAGGGAGCTCCGTGCTGGACAGGAGCAGGTGTGGCAAAGCGGGGTGTAGAGAGTCCTGCAAAAGCTCACTTCCACCCAAACTCATGATGGGATCGTATTTGGGAATACAGTCTTTGCAGATGTAATTTGTCAAGATTAATTTGTACTGGATCAATGTGGACACTCAATCCAATGGCTGGTGTCTTTACAAGAGAAAGGAGAGAAAGATTCTGACACAGGGACAGAGACAGAAACACCCAGGGAACGTGGCTGTGTGAAGAAGGAGGCAGAGAATAGATTGAGGCATGTACAAGTCAAGGTATGCCAAAAATTACTGGCAATCAATAGAAGCCAGTGAAAGGCAAAGAAAAGTCTTTCCTAGAAATTTCAAGGGGAGCGTGGGCTTGCCAGCACCTTGATTATGGACTTCTAAACTGCAAATCTGTGAGAGAATAAATTTCTGTTGTTTTGACCAGCAAGAATGTGGTTATTTATTAATGGCAGCCCTAGAAATCAAACACCCTTAGCATCCTATGCCTTGGAATCATCTGTCAGGAAAAGCACAGAGGGTACTTCTCGCTCAACTATTGCTTTTCTACACTCTTCTGATGTGTATAATAGAGTCCTTGCCTCAAAATGTCCAAAAATCCATTGTGTTGATATTGAAGCCTACTTTTCCTGCTACTTTCTTTTTTTAATTTCAGTCTCATGGAGGTACACATGACAAATAAAATTGTATATATTTAAAATGTACAACATGATGATTTGTTTTATATATATATATATATACACACACACACACACACACACACATTGTGAAATGATTACCACAATCGGGTTAATTAACACACCCATCAACTCAGATATTCTTTTTTGTGTGAGAACACTTCAGATCTACTCTTTTAGCAAATTTCAAGTATACAATACAGTATAATTAACTGTAGTCACCATGTTGTATATTAGCTCCCCAGAACTTATTCATCTTGTAATTGAAAGTTTGTACCTTTTGATCAACATTTCTCCATTGTCCCTACCCTCAGCTTCTGCATTTACTATTATTTTACTCCCTGTTTCTGTGAGTTTGACATTTCATTTTTTTTTAGGTTCCCTATATAAGTGATAGATACAGCATTTGTTTTTCTCTGTCTGGCTTATTTCACTTAGCATTATGCTGTCTAGGTTTAGCCATGTTGTCACAAATGACTTTGATATGCATTTCCCTCACACTTAGTATGTGATTCCTCCAGCTTTCTTTTGCTATTGCTTTGTCCATTTGGGGTCTTTTGTGATTCCACATGAATTTTAGGATTTTTTTTTCTATTTCTATAAAACATCTGATTGGAAATTTGATAGAGATTCCTTGATTGTATAGCTTGCATTGATAAGGATATTTTAGTGGGACTAACTGTTAAACTCTTCCAATCTGAGAACATGGGTTATCTTTCCATCTATTTGTGTCGTCTTCACTTTTTTTCATCCATGTTCATGGTATCAATGTATGGATCCTTCACTCACCTCTTTGGTTAAATATATGCCTAAGTAATTTATGCTTTTTGATACTATTACAAGTGGGAAGATTTCAATTTTTCTTTCAGATAGTTCATTGGTAGTGTATAGAAACAAAACTGATTTTTGTATGATTTTGTATACTGCCACTTTACTGAATTTGCTTGTTAATTCTAATAGTTTTTTGGTGGAGTCTGTAGGGTTTTCTATATGTAGATGCTCCTGGATTTACCATGGGGTCACATACTGATAAACTGATAAGTTGAAAATACCAAAAGTAAAAAATGTATCTAATACATCTAACATAGCAAACATCATAGCTTAACCTAGCCAAACTTAAATGTGCTCAGAACACTTACATTACCCTATAGTTGGGCAAAATCATCTAATAGAAAGTCTATTTTTTAATACAGTGTGAATTATCTCATGAACCACATATTGCTAGTTCAGGAAAAGATCTAAAATTTGAAGTACACCAAATTGCATTGGCTTCACACCACTATAAAATTGAAAAAGTTGTAAGTCAAACCACCTGAAGTCAGGGACATCTCTCTATAAGAGCATGTCATCTGCAAACAGAGAAAATCTAACTTCTTCCTTTTGGATTTGGATGTGTTTTTTTCTTCTTCTTACCCAATTGCTCTGCTTACGACTTTCAGTGCATTGTTGAATAGAAGTGACAGGAGTGGGGATCCTTGTCTTTTTCCTGATCCTTGAGGGAAAGCGTTCAGTTTTTCACCATTGAGGATGATGATAGCTGTGGGCTCCTCACATACAGCCTTTATTGAATTGAGGTATGTTCCTTCTGTATCTAGTTTGCTGAGAGTTTTTATTATGAAAGGATGTTGAATTTTGTCAAATGCTTCTTCTGTGTCTGTTGAAATGATCATATGATTCTTATCCTTCATTTTGTTTATACGGTGTAATCACATTTGCTAATTTAGATATATCAAACCATCCTTGCATCCAGGGATAAATCCCAGTTGATCTTGGTGTATAATTCTTGGAATATGCTGTAGAACTTGGTTTGCTGCTATTTTCTTGAAGATTTTTGCATGTATGCTCATCAGGGATACTGACTTGTAATTTTAATTGTAGTCTCCTAGTCTGGATTCAGTATCAGGGTAATGCTGGACTCATAAAATGAGTTTGGAAGTGTCAGATATTTTTTGATAGAACAAAACTTGGCATAAAGAATATCATGTACTATATATCAGGAACATTACCAAATGAAAATAAAGTTCTTCTCTCTTATTGAGAATTGAAAAGAATTTAAGATGCTGTATCCCACAGAGAAAGCTTCTCTTATGTAGCAAGGGCTTTGTATGTTCCGAGTCTGATGAACCTATCTTTACAGTCATTTGAGAGGTATGTGTATATATTTGGGGGTATGTGTGTGTGTTTGTGCATTCAGACACAGTTACAGTTTAGTTGCCCCAAATTGTATTTAATACTTACCAAGCACTAAGCAGTGGGATAGGCATTTGTGTTCAAAGATGAAAAGCACCTGGTCGGTGGCATTAAGAAGAACAGTGGATAGAGAGCTTATGTCAATACAATAGGGTTGCTGATGACATAAAGGGACTTATATGAGGTATACCTCCAGGAATGAGTATTATTTGATTTCATTTTTATTTAGGATCTATCTAGTATAAGAACTGTCAATGTGTTTATACTGTTCATGGTTTGTAAGAGACCAGGCTGGTCTGTTTTTGCATTCATAATTTTAATGTAAAAATGTCTATGCCTTTGTCTTTGATAAGGTTTTAATAACTGATTTATAATCTCTCTCATTGTTATAAATGAAAAGCCCTTCTGCATAAAGGATAAAAGAGTAAATGTCAGTGATAGATCATATTGCTAATTTTATCCATAAACTGTTTCCAAAGAGGCATTAATGAAATCACTTCTGCTTACTACCAGTTTTTTTAAAAAAAAATCTTGCTCTGGTTTTACATGGAAAAAAATACTGTTCTTTTGATTTTAAAAATACTTTTTGACCTTAAGTATATATTTAAATCTAAGGTAAGAAGTAAGATTACTTTAAAAATAGATACATTTCTACTTCTTCTAAGCTGCATTTATATTATCTTCAGGGTCACTTGCAATGCATATAAAGCCCTCTATTTGTCCACAAATCACACTGTAGAAAGCACAGAGCTAGAAACACTAGTGTTCTCAGCCTTGCCATTCAGAGGTAACTTGTCTCTGTTTGCAAGTAACATGATCTTATATACAGATGAAGAGTGCAGCTCTCTCCTCCTTTTCTCCCCACCCACTCTCCTAACGTCTCCATATTCTTTCTCCCTCCTGCTTAAAGCCTTCCTTCTTTGGTTAAAACTAGTAGGTAGCCACATGCTTGGGGGAGAGAACTAGGGTAAAATTTGGGAAATTGGGGTGGTTGCAGACCTGTGTAAGAAGGTAGCATTTCAGAGGACTCATTTTTTAGGCATAGTTGCTAACCTTAATACATCATTATATCGGTATTTTTTTTTTGAGACAGAGTTTTGCACTGTTGCCCAGGCTGGAGTGCGGTGGCACTATCTTGGCTCACTGCAAGCTCTGCCTCCCGGGTTCAGGCCATTCTCTTGCCTCAGCCTCCCGAGTAGCTGGGACTACAGGCGCCTGCCACCACGCCCAGCTATTTTTTTTATTTTTAGTAGAGACGGGGTTTCACCATGTGTTAGACAGGATGGTCTTGATCTCCTGACCTCATGATCTACCCACCTCGGCCTCCCAAAGTGCTGGGATTACAGGCGAGAGCCACCATGCCTGGCTGGTAAGTATTTTAAAATATCTACTAAATTACCCCTCCAAAAAACTTGTATATTTATTCTTAATTTTTTAAGTCTGTGGATAACAAGCTCATCTTCCCAACCATCAAAGTTATATTCATTTACTGCACTTTTAGAAAGCAAAAGATTTCTCAAGATTCAAATATGATTTTTCCACTGGGCTTCCTCATTTAAAAAGTACAATGAAAACACAGTTTTCTTAAACTGCTCAACAGAGAGACTGCTGGAATCTAAATGATCCCAGCATGACAATTACAGTTTGCACAGATTAATTTTTTTTTTATTACCACATGTGAAACTGATGTTAATCAAGTGTCAATGTGAGCCCATTCCTTGGATAATAACCACATGTGGTAGAATTTACTACCTGATATTCATTTATTTCATCTTAAGGTAGGTAGTGCATGAGAAGCATAGGGTGATGACAAATGGGAAAAAAAACTACCACTTTGAATGTGAACTGAAATCCTAATTCAAATCCTTTAGAATTTTTAAATAGCAAAGAGATTACTTGGGCTTTAGACTAACATGCTTCTGCTATGTTCAACTTCTTTCAATATCTCATCTATATGTATAAAGGAAGAGGAGAAATGTTACTTATTAATAAACATTTTTCTTGATTACTAATAGCAATCCAAATGCTTCTCAATAAATTTCTCCTCTATACTATTTTTGCCCTATGCATCATTCTGTAGTATTATTTTTACTTCTAAAATACGTGTTAGCTCAAAAACCTAGTTTAGACTGTAGAAAGGAAGCTTAGCGAAAATGACCTCTGTTCAGTGGAACTGTGGCAATCACACTGCAGGAAAGCAAAAGTTTCAAGACAGAGTTGATGGTACATTTTATCTGGTAAAAGCGGAAAATAGGTCATAAGCAGTGGATCTAGCAACAATAAGAGAAGGACTTGTTTTGCAATGACTGCACTTTCATCATCCATCACTGGGCTTCCCCTCCCAGCCCACTTCTCTTCAGCACCCTTTGGGATGACTGGCCTTGTGGCTAATCAGCCACATGGTCAGCTGAGAAGAGAGGAGATTTTTTTTTTTTTTTTTTTTATCATAGCTTGGGCTTTCCCATCAGGTGCTGTAACACACAGGAGTAGACACCTATACTAACAACCAAGCAGCAAGTACTGCTGTCTGGAGTTTCCTACTTGCCTTACTCAAGGGCATCTAATACGCATGCAATCCCAGTACTTCTCTCCTGGAACTGCTATGCTGTGGGAAGGCAGGAATCCTTATTATTGAGAATCTCTCCCTTGTGGAAGTCCAGAAAATGTTATTTTGCTCTTACACAGAGCTTAATTAAGTCAGCTTAATTTAAAGAACTATACAAAAGAAAAATAGTGCTTTTGGACAATAAATTAACAAAGTTTGTGCTGTCCACCTAGCTTCAGGTAATTTAGGAACCTGTAGGACAATCAGTCTGGCCTGCCCCAATGCAGGTTTTATTATCTCAGGAAATCTCTATCTATGTCATTCAAACTCTAGAGGAGCTCATTTTCTGAGTAGGGATATGTTTCCATCAAATGCTTGAATATTCTCTAAGTGGGATAACTCAGCAACAGATAGCCATATGGTAGAAAACACACACAGGCTTTTCTAGAGCTCTGAATTCCTTTGCAGTAATACAAATGGGAGGCATTTTCCTCTTCACAGACAAATTCTTAGAGGTATTTCTTTATCCAGTGTAGTTGGATGGGCTCACTTGGCTCTACCTAGCCTAGTGAAAGTTGATCACATGACTTGGCAAGAAAGACATGTTTAATTAATATCTCAACAGGCCCAGATAGTGGCAGAGAGTATTAGGACATTTTGATGCCTGCTAATGAGAAATGACAGCAATTCTGTAGTTGCCAACATTGTCTGGCATTTGGTGGTGGCATCCGTGATGCCAAGAATGGGCTTTCAAGAGTAGAGTAGGCATATTTTTCAGACAGGAGCTTCTATGGCAGCTTTGGGATGAAACTGGGTGATGAAACTAAGGGACTACGAGCCCTTGAATGTTTTTCTCATTTTACTTAAAAATAAAACCATATTCTTTATTCAAATCCATATCCATTTACATTATTTCACTTTTATTGGCTAAGTCTAAAGATTTCCAAATCAGCGATTTCACAAACATTTGAAAGAAGTCAGATGAGAGAATACCCCAAAAGTCAAGCATCAAAATTTTCTTGGAAACGGCTGCATTTTTTATAAGAAACTATTGCTTATTAATGGTGTTAGACATATTCATCAAAGATAACAGGAGGAGATTATTTAGGTGGATGGATAATTTCGCCCCAGATTACAACAATCTTTATATTTTTGTAGCATTCTTTTGCCAAGAGGGAGAGGAAAGGAGGAAGAAAAAGCAAAATGCGGCAACAGCAACAACAAAATGGATGAAGTAAGAGTTCTGTTTATCATGATTTTATAAAAAAAAATAAAAAATAAAAAATACGGGAACCAATAATTCAACTTTCAGAATTTCTTCCTGTGAATGGTGCAAAATCAAGAGAATCCTCACTGAGTAGTTTTTAAATAGAGTTTAGCAAACAAATCCAGGTGTCTTAATTTCAGAAGACATAAATTTGATGCAGCTGAGTCACAGCTGGACCGCTCCTGAGGGGAGGAAGCATCTCATTATACCAGATTTAGGTTAATAATCACAAGAGAATATAAAATTAGCTTTGTTACCTAAGATCATACTATAAGCTAAATAATTGAGAAGTAATTTAGTAAAATAAAAGCGTCTGTATCACTTTCAGTAAAGAAATGTTAATAGTTAAAGAAGTGATATCAAATCATCCAAATGGTTTTCAAAAATGCACTGTAAGCATTTTCAGCAGCCTTACCAGTTCTCCTTACTTCAGAAATAACTGAGAGCCCATAACCTGTTATGGGAAAACTTAAATATCATTCAGTGACCTTTCTTTCTTCTAAAGCAGCATTCTCCAACCTTTTTGGCACCAGAGACTGGTTTCATGGAAGACAGTTTTTCCATGGATCAGGAGGTAGGGGATGGTTTCAGGATGATTCAAGTACATACATTTATTTTGCAATTTATTTCTATTATTATGACATTGTGATGAATAATGAAATAATCATACAACTCACCATAATGTAAAATCAGTGGGAGCCCTGAGCTTGTTTTCCTGCAACTAGGTGGTCCCATATGGGGGTGATGGGAAACAGTGGCAGATCATCAGGCATTAGATTCTCATAAGGAACATGCAACCTACATCCCTCGCATGCACAGTTCACAATAGCATTCGTGCTCCTCTGAGAATCTGATGCTGCCCGTGATCTGACAGGAAGTGGAGCTCAGGTGGAAATGTGAGCAATGGGGAGTGGCTGTAAATAGAGGTGAAGCTTCACTCCACCACTGCTCACCTTCTGCTATGTGGCCCAGTTCCTAAAAGGCCACAAACTGGTATTGTGGGGATTGGGGACTCCTGTTCTAATGGATATAAGTTGTTTCACGATTTAAAAAAATGACTTATGAAGAATAGCATCTGAAGTTATGCTTTGTTACAGCGGTGCTGAAAAACCACTGTCTTCTGGGCCAGCTTCACCCATGATTCAAATCTGCACCCTGCTGCTCCTTTAACAAGACCAGTCTCTTCACAGTATTACATTTATAACCATGGCTGTCATCTGTTGAGAATTGACTACATAGTAGACAACATGTTAGACATTTTACAAATCATCTGAACCCTTCACAATAATATTGGCAGGCACATACTATTATTCTTGTTTTATTAATAATGAAACAGGGCAGTGGTGTGCTAGTAAACCAGCTCTATTAAAAGTATCTTGCTTTACAGGGTTTGTCAATTTCCCTAGCATAAATTCTTCCACTGTGGTCTGGTTCAAGCTACCAAGGTTTACACCAAAGTTCTGCTTCAAGCTACCAAGGTTTACCAAGGTTAAACAATCAATTCAAAATTTTTTGAATATTTAACAATTAGTTCTGTTTCTCTACAGAACTCTGAAAGGAACTTAGCTCAGAGTTCCGTTCCTGCTTGAACGTCTTCCCAAATATCTTGGTTCATATTGTTTTTCTCTCATATCATACACACTTGCCTTGATACTAGTTGGACACATAAATACATGTTACCTTCTTATAATGTATTAATGCTTTTATTACTTATCCTGCTTTCCTTTAAAACTACCTTGTCTACTTCATAAGGAAAATGGCTCTCGTCTATGCTTTTGTATTCACATAGTGTGCCACATACAAAAGAGATGCATAATATTGTTGAATGAGTTGAAACTGTGATTTAAAGATAATCCTGTACACCAAGTTTCAAAAGCTAAAGACTTGTCATAGAAACTTATTAACTAATGTCAAAATGGAAACCAAACACAGTTTGGTTTCAGAGAAGTTAAAAAGTATCAAAGGAGAGACACATATTATTTTTTACTCTAATTCTCTTTCCTGTTTTCTGAGCAGATATTAACCTTCCTGAAGCTCCGTTCCTTATCTTCAAATTAAAGTAGACTCTTTCCCTATATCATTTTTTTCCTTAATTCAACCTGACAAAAGTGTTAAAATGGGTGTTTTCTATTCCTTTTTCTCTTCACTCTGAACCTTGGATAAAACATACACTGGGATTCAAACTACAGGGAGTTTAATGAATAATGCCAGTTCCCTCAAGACCTAGCACTGGCATTTTATAGCTTCGGAGAAGTTCATAGGATCACAGCATGTCTTTACAGCACACTGCTTTTCAATATGCATTTGCAGATCAACTTTTTTTTTTTTTTTTTTGCCAAGACTCAAAGAGAAAGACATATTTTTGAAACTATTGAAAGAGTCTTTGCAAAATTGAAATTAAATCCTTTCTTTCTATATTTAATCTTGGTCATCATTCCGAAGCAAGAAGGGATTAATTCAAAATTTGGTCTGCCTTAGAAATGTAGAGGTCCTTGGGCTGTGTTTCTCCAAATGACCTGTACTATTTTAATCCAGTGTAATTTATTTGGTTGTGGCCAAAAGATAGAATGGCCTTTAAATCCCCTTCCAACATTTCTACCCAGGTAGTACTTTCACAGCTCTTTCCATCTTATTTTCTGTGTAGGTGCCAGATGAATATGAGAGTAAAGGAGCTGCTGGGATGATTGTTTCCTTGTGCAAAAAGTGATTTCAGGAAGTGACATCACTTGCCATTATTTCCCTTAGCTCCCAATGCTTTAGTCCTGGTGAGAATGCGAGCTTTTCCTCTAGAGAATACATACAGCTGAGCAAGGGCTTATTAACATTTGACTTGCATATATTCTATTGAAAACCATATTCTCTACCAAGCACCATGCTGAAGTTGCATCACCTCACCCTGATTTCTCCCTGTCCATATGGTTAGAAAAACAAACCCAGAAATAAAGCAAACAAATCCTCTGAATATACAATCTGAAAAGTTAAAATAATTGCTTAAAACAAATAATTTGTGACAAAGTATTAAATCATTTTTTTCCCCTATGTGTCTACATGTATCCATATTTTGTAAGCGTGAAAAATGCCAAGCTAGATTCTAAGAGGTAAGAATACATAGAATTTATTCCTAGATCACAATCCTGGTGAACCAGAGATGTGGAAATAAGGTGATAAGAACTTTTATTTTTAATGAAACTATACACATTTTTGGAGGGGGCTACATCCTAGTATTCCTGCCCTCTCTACTTCACACTCCAGTATCTATTCCATGTATGGAATGGAGTCAGCTCTCAATATATTGATGAATGAATAAGTGATGGTAGCACTATGGGTCCTTAGTGTCCTGTGGTCCTGCAGTTGGATCCCATAGTCACTCCTTAATAACAGGGACACACTGAGCATCTGACACAGATCATGGTGTGGGAATGGGATGGAAAGTAAATTGAAGGAATTTGGTAGTTGCTCACTTGATAACACAGAAGCACAACCTGACTAGATAATACCATATCTCGATTAGAAAGAGTAGATGTACTCCATGCATATAAATCAGCTAGTGTGGCTATTATACTTGCTAATAAAAACCTTTATCTTTTCAAAGAGCATTTATTGAAATACTGAGATATCCTATGGTCTTTTCATTGAGAATCACTGATATGAAAATATGGCCTGTGTACCGAATGAAGAGTATACGGATCAGTAGATGCGACTTACACTCAAAGTAAAATTTGACTAGCTGTTTTTCGAAACTTAGTGGCATAAGTTCTTTAAAAGTAGGACATTTTCTGAATTTAAAAAGCACTTTTTTTTATTATACTTTAAGTTCTGGGGTACATTAAAAAGTACTTTAATAAACAATATCTCATTGAATTTTCAAAAGGAAACTTAAGTTTAGAGACATTAAATGACGTGTCTAAAAACACAAAACCAAGATAGCACAGAGGAGCGGGGGCGGAGAGATGGGGAGGAAAGTGATTAAATCTGAATCATTCCTATTTTATTGCTGTCAGTAACCTGTGGCATGGACTGGAAAAGCTGACTTCACCTTCTATAAGTATGAGTGAAATCCACACTTAATGCAGCAAGCGTGTTTGAGGAAACAGAGAATTTATAAAGTATGGAGACAGTCATTTTTCTGGAACTTAGACATGTCCAACTGATGGGGAAGTAAGTTTGGCCACATAGCCTAAGGATCTGATGGTTTGACATCAGGACATCTAATTTCAAACCCTGAGTGTTTTCCCCTCTCCATAACTTCCCTGTAGCAAGGATACACATATAATATTACATGATAAATCAAAAGATTTTTATGTTCATGTTATTCAAATTTTATAGAGTTTAAAATAAACTTCTTGTCATGTACTAGTCAATATTTAAACATATCTGTATCTATTTTAGAATAACTCCTATAGTTAGCCAGTATAGTAATTGACCACACTCTATGATGTAAGGGGTCCCCAACCCGTTAGTAACTGGGCCTCACAGCAGGAGGCAGGCATTCCCGCCTGAGCTCCGTCTTCTGTCAGATCAGCGGCAGCAATAGATTCTCATAGGATCCTGAAACCTATTGTGAACTGTGCATGTGAGGGATCGAGGTTGTGCACTCCTTATGAGAATTCAACTAATGCCTGGTGATCTGAGGTGGAACAGTTTCATCTGGAACCATCCCCTTACCCACTTCCCCCACCCTGGTCTGTAGAAAAACTGTCTCCTATGAACCTGGCCCCTGGTGCCAAAAACGTTGGAGAGTGCTGATCTAAGATATTATCTTTGTTGCAACTTCCTTTGCTATTGTTACTATAATGTCATAGTTCTCACAAATTTCAGTAATGAATGGGGCATCTTAACATGGCACAATATTTTCCTTAAAGATAATTTGAAATATGTAGATTTTTTTTGCTAATATCCTAAATTCCTCCATATAATTTCTTAGAATAATGTTTAATGTCTTGTGGTAGTTTTTGGTATTATTTTTAGTACCCTGCCTTCCATTTACCCATATTTTGTTATTGGACTTGATTCTATTTTTCTTTTTGCCCTGTAAGTGTACTCTCTCCTTATAGCTTCACTATCTTCATAAATTTACTGTAAAGAGGGCATTGAATAAAATTTAAAGAAAACACTGTTGCTCTGGATACTCTTTGACATTCAAGAATGCTTGGAGGCAGTGCATATTCACTGCGTGCATAGTCTGTGCTGGGCGAGCCTCAGATTTAAACTGGTGGATGAAATGTGGCACCACCTCCTGCCAGAGATGCAGAGACCAGTGGAGGAGAAAGATATTATTAAATCATTATGAATAATAAGTGCAAAATCATAACCATTGCTAGTGCTAAAAGACATATGTGTGTTTTAGAATAAGAGGATTTGATCTAACTACAGGGCCATGGAAAGCTTTTCTGAGATGACTGCTGAGCTGAAATCTGAGGGAGGAGTAGAAATGTACTAGACAAAGCAGAGAGGTAGATGTGCAAATGTCCTGTGGTGGGGGGTCGTGGTATAGGAGGGGCAAGGGTATGAGAGTGCAGGGCATGCATCAAAAACTGAAAGGAGGCCAGTGCATTGAAGGGGAGAATGGGAGGAGATGTAGGGGAGGAAATCAGGTTAAAGACATGGCCATATTACGTAGGACCTGGCAAGCCAGGTGAACTTGCCCCAAAGGATGGATTCCAATTCCCTAAGGCTAAATATCTAAATTTTATTTTAGATACCTGCTATGGTTTGGCTCTGTGTCCCCACCCAAATCTCACCTTGAACTGTAATCCCCACGTGTTGAGGGAGGGACCTGTAATTCCCACATGCCAAGGGAGGGAGGTGATTGGATCATGGGCGAAGTTCCTCCATGCTATTCTCATGACAGCGGGTGAGTTCTCACGAGATGATGGTTTTATAAGGGGTTCTTCCCCCTTCGCTTGCAATTCTCTCTCCTGCCACCATGTCAAGAAGGGCCTTGCTTCCCCTTCGCCTTCCACCATGATGGTAAGTTTCCTGAGGCCTCCCCGGCTACATGGAACTGTGAGTCAAACCCCTTTTCTTTCTAAATTATCCAGTCTCTGGTATTACTTTATAGCAGTGTGAGAACAGACTAATACCATATCCAACGCAATTCTACCCAATGCTGCTTGTTTTTGTAGCAATGCTCAAACTCCAAGTTATCATTGATGCCTAAGTTGTAGAAACTCCAAATGGACAGAGACACCAAGTTTCTTCGTGCCAATAAATCTAGGTCTTTATGCTCTATGTTAGTATGACTACAGCAAATAGAATTCAATTTATTTTGAAAATTATTCTTTGAATTATATCAATTATAGGTGAAATGGATTATCAACAACATGGTATGGGCTGTTGAAATCCACTGCGCCTCTCACGTGTGCTGTAATAAGGTGCAACACAATTTACAGTTTACACATTTATGAACCCAGAGGAAATGCTCCAGCATACGGAATGTACAATTGTTACCGTTTACATTTAAATTTTTCTCTAACATTGGCTAGAAAAAATTTTACTTTTGCTTTATTTGGCAATGTCAGGACCTGTTCCTTACTAGTATTTCAGAATTTTTAAATCTCGTGATTTTAAAATTAAAAGAGAATTATATAGGTCATCTAGTTTATTCCTCCTGTTTCCCCTGGAAACATTACGTCTATATATTTGGGCAACATGAAAATCTCTCCTTTAATAAAAAGATCTGCAAAAATATTTTCTGTCAGAATGCACATCTGACATTTAATAAATTTCCAAGGCTAACATTGCTTATTTTTGTCGAACACTAAAATACTATCCTTTAACCTCTTGCATTCATTAAATTAGCCAAAAGTTTTCATATTATTGAGGATATTCTAAGGAATTTTTAGAGCAGTTCCACACAAGGAACTAGTAGTATATATAAGAATGTTTGGCCAGGCATGGTGGCTCATGCCTGTAATCCCAGCACTTTGGGAGGCCAAGGCGGGCAGATCATGAGGTCAGGAGATCCAGACCATCCTGGCTAACGCAGTGAATCCCCATTTATACTGAAAATACAAAAAATTAGCTGGGCATGGTGGCACGTGCCTGTAGTCCCAGCTACTTGGGAGGCTGAGGCAGCAGAATCGCTTGAACCTGGGAGGTGGAGGTTGCAGTGAACCGAGATCATGCCACTGCACTCAAGCCTGGGTGACAGAGCAAGACTCCATCTCCAAGCAAAAGATACATTCTTACAGTGCTTTTGGGAGACTGAAGCAGGGATAAGTCAATACAATAAACACAAACTGTTCAACATGATCATTTTAGTCCCTTTGTCATGGTTTGGTGTTCAGATATGCTACTATTCAGATCTTAAAGGATTTATGGAGAGTGGAATGCCTGTATGAGAAAATTTTTTCAAGTTTAAAACTTCAACAATTTAATGTATTTGCATTTTGTAACAAACTTGCCTCTTTTGTTCTTAAACGACAAAAACTGGCTTTCCCTTTCCTGTGATCTGACTATCTTCTGTGATCTTTGGCTTTGTCTGTGGGATTGAGTTGTCTACTCATCCCAAAGGGAGACATCCTGGCTCCTCAGGGGAGCAGTTCACAAATGACAGTCCTCTAAGCCCTACATATAATTTACGTAAAAACAAAGTCCCCATGTACACACAAACTAACAAATGAAAACAGGAGACATAGGTTTAGGAGGCATACTCTTCAATTCTTCTGGAGAAAAATACTATGGAAACCAGTCATTCACTGCAGTCCAAATCTGCCATAAAAGTGATAGCAAACAATGTATGGTGACATTAAATTAAGAGACACATTGTGTGATTTGGGCAATTATTGGTATAGAAGTTCAAAGGAAAAGGACAATTGCTCTGAAAGTGATGAAATGACAAAAATTTATTGAGTACCACATAAGCCAAAGTTTTTCTCAGCATCTTCCGTACATCATTTCATTTAATCTCACAATGGCTTGAAGAGGTGAGCACTGTTAATTATCTATTCCTACAGGAGAAAACTGAAGCTCAAATAATTTAAATGGCCTAGGGTACAAGTAAGAAAATGGTAAAGTCAAAGTCAACACAAGGCAGAGTGACCAAGCAAAAAGGCCTCTCTGTTCCATCTTGAACTAGAGCTTCTAGCCTGGATGATCACAGGTCACTCATAGCACTG